>NC_000017.11:6703232-6854747 GCF_000001405.40 Homo sapiens
ATCCCAGCTCTGCTGATTTAGCTGCCCCACTGGGCTCCATAAGAGTTGCTGGCAGGGATGTGCCCGATTCCTCTCTGTAAGCCCCAGGACCTTGCCCAGGGTCTGGCAATCAGGCCGTCAGCCACAGACCCTGACTCTACTGCACTGGGCTGGGGATGGTAAGGGAACACGGCAGACGGCAAGGTAGATGCTGACTCGTCTTCCCTGAGCTTCGCACCTAGCAGGGAAGCAAGCATGGGACGCCAAGCCCCAGACCTATGGGAGCAGAGAGTGGAAGGATTTGAGCTGCTCGAGGAGGTCAGAAAAGGCCTCCTTGAGGATGAGCAGGAGTAGCAAGGAGTGAGGGGCATCCCTAAGTGCTCGAAAGATGCCCAAATGAATAATCAGGTGAACACACTGATTTCTGCAACTGATGGGAACTGAGGGTGAGACTTTGTTCAAAGCTCTATTAAAGGATCTAAGTTGTGTGCAATAATCCCCTCCTAAAACTTAGGACAACAGTATTTTCTATTTTTTTTTCTCTATGCGTGTTTAAAGGAGGGCTCCGGGAAGCAGACAGGGAGAAGGAGGTGGCCAAAGCATTTGCCAGCAGAGGGAGGGGAAGGCTGCTGTTGTGGCCTGGCAGTGCCCTGGCCAGGGGCTCACCTGGCAGCTCCTTGGCCTTGCCCTTGTCCACCAGCTCCAGGCCGGCCTCGGTGGCTGCGCTTGTGGCTTCCATCTGCTGCAATATGGCCTCCACGATGGGCACCATCATGGCCGTGGTTGCCGTGTTACTGATCCACATGGACAGGAGGGCTGTGACGCCCATGAAGCCCAGCATCAGCCTGCAGAGGAGGGGCAGGGAGGAAAGCCAGAGAATCCCCACCCCACCCCCGTACTCCCTGGGAAGCAACTGGGGACTGGGTCCACCCCTGCAGGGATGCACAGGTGTTGAGGCCAATTCAAGATCAGATATTGGAATAGGGATGACGGTTTTAGAGCCTCCCCTCCCTCCCTCCTTCCCTTCTTTGCTTCCTCCATTCCTCTCTCCCTCCTGCCTCTCCCACACCCATGACTGATGTCTACTCTGCTTGCTTCTGGGGTTACCAAGAGGCCTCAGATCCAGTCGTGGTTCTAAGGAGCACCCCTGCCCCACCATCTAGCAGGGGAAGCCCAGGCATCCAGATGGTGCCAACTCAATATGAGCTTGCCCTAGGGTGTGCTGGAATACCCCTATGTGCAGGCAGCCCCAGCTTCCCACTTCTGGCTAGG
Source organism: Homo sapiens (assembly GCF_000001405.40). Classification (NCBI taxonomy): domain Eukaryota; kingdom Metazoa; phylum Chordata; class Mammalia; order Primates; family Hominidae; genus Homo; species Homo sapiens. The sequence goes on from NC_000017.11 coordinate 6,704,484, forward strand.
AAATTCCCACCCACCCCCAAACTCTGTTGCACCTCTCAGAAGTTCAGAAGGGCTAAGCAGAGTAGGGGTAGGGTGAGCTGGGGAGGGAGCTTGGGAAAGTGTGACTATTCTCCCGGCTGCCACTCCAACCCTGCCATCTCCCCTCCGCCCCGCACATACACTTTGACCCCTCCATGCTGCAGTGGAGCTATCACACAAACAGTATTCAGAAGAAACACTCCCTTTGCTTGTAACCCCTGCTCCCTTCTCTGCTGTCTATCAGGAAGACTCCTCATGGTCCTTCAGAGCCTGCTCAAACAACATCCCTCCTCTGGGACCACGCTCTCAGTGTGTGCACCAGGTGGGGCTGGCCTGACCCTTCTCAATCCTTCCCCCTACTCTAATCATCGCTGTGCTGGGTTCAAAGCACCTGTTTCCATGTCTGCTCTCTCCTTGGGCTGTGAGCAGGGCAGGGCCTGACTCTGCTCTGTGGCTCTACATGCCCCAGCTGTCCAAGGCTAGGGACAGAAGGAGCTCAGCTACTCTCAGTCTGTGGGCCTCGCTGCAGCCAGGCTCCTCCTCAGGGCTCCTAATTCACCTGGGGGTAGGAGCAGGGGCAGGGGTAGGAGCCTGAAGAAGGGACCTAGGAGCTGTTCTGCACCAGGGCCCAAGCTGCTGTCCACACAGGCAGACATTATGGACCCAAAAAAAAACAAAGCCCGGGACCCAGGCTAGGAGGAGGGGGAGAGTTTGCATGAATGGAGTTGTCTGAGAAGAACCAAGGCTTCTACATGATATCTCAAGGCACCAAGGGTGCCTCACATACAGGTGACTCCCAGGACAGGCAGTGCCTTGGACAACCGGAGACCATACTCAGAGGAGCAAGGTGGCAGGAAGGATACAGAAGCATGTGTGAACTTGGGTTTGGAAGTGGAAGCTCTCCAGCATGCTGCAGAATGAAACCCACTGGAGTGGCCTCCCACCCAAGCTGGCCACTCAAGGGAGCCAAGCAGAAGAATTCTGAGGGCCCTGAGGTCCACTTTCCTGGGGTCTCTCATTTCTAGAAAATATGATGGCTTTTGATTTGATGCTAAAGCAATTACTGGAAGGAATCAATGCCAGGATGTGTAACAGATCAGAGAGCCACAAAGTCCCCTGCTCAGGGGAATCTGAGGCACCAAGGGAGCCCCGGGCATGGGTTGCCTGCAGGGCAGGCTAGCGTCTGTGTGTGCTCAGGGTCTAGCACAGCCCCTGACACAGGGGCGCCTCAGGAGGAATTTACCGTAAACTGACCAGCAGCTGACTCCTGATGGCTGGGCCAAGGACGTGCCATCATTGAGGGGACACATTGTCTCAAAAGGAAGATATGCCCTGAGTTTCTGATTAGAGAGGACACAGGCCTTATCAGAGAAGCTGGGTCCAATCCCCGTGTGTCCATGAGCAAATCACTTTATCCCTCTCTGCCTCCAATCCCTCATCCACAGAATGTGGGCAGTAAGAATACTCAGCTCTCAGAGTTGTGGTAAGAATTAAATGAGGCAATTCATAAGCTCCTGGTATCATGCCTGGGGCCTTGTAGACACTCAATATACCCATTATGATCATGATTGATTATGGTTATGATTATGATTATATTGACTCCATGGCTTAGCTGGAAATGGCTAGCTAGATTGGCAGGAGAGATCCTGGAAATGGAGAGAGAAGCTGGGGTACTGAGTGATATCGGGGAAGATAAGAAGCTTCTTTGCAGTGGGAATAGATGCTCCAGCTTGGAGAGAGGACCTTTCTGCTTCCCCATGAGCTGGGTAGTTGAGCCACTTCTGGCCTGCTTCCCTTATCCTATCAGACACAGCTTGATCCAGCCTCTATCCAATTTGTTCCCGGTGGAACCCTGCAGCTAGCTGCCTCCCCCAGAAAGCCTTCCAAGCCTGCAAGGACTCTTGCTGACCCACCTCCTCTGGATTCGAGGACCCTTACTTACTGCTGCTCACCATGTGCCACCACCACGCATGCATCTGGTCTCTCCCACTAAAGCTATAACGCACCCCACCCAGCCAAGTCCAGGTAAGCCCATGGCCAGCCCTCACCAGTGGATGGCCTGGTCTGTGCCATCCTCCACCCCCTTCCAGCCCTGGGGCTCATGCAGAGCCACGTGGCAAGAGAGAGAAGGCGTAATTACCGTGCAGGCTTGGCCCCCACCCAGAGGAGCGTGCGCAGGGCGATCCTCTTGTGCAGGTTCCAGCGCTCCACAGCCACGGCCACGATGAGGCCGCCCAGGAACAGCATGTTGGTGTCCTTCATGTACTGGACACACACCTGGAGCGTGGCACGAAGGCCTCATCAGGACTGTCCCTTGCCACACACTAGAGCCACCCAGTCCCCAGATGCTGACTTCAGGGACAGCTTGGAGTGGGGATGCAGGCTCGAGTGGTGTCTCCCTGCCAGGGAGAATCCACAAATGAGGGTTTTCCGGTCACCCCCAGGCCTGTGCGACTCACAGTGGGGACTAGAGAAAGAGAGAAGGGGAGAACCAGAAAGTCACCAGGATCCCTTGGGTCTGCTCACCTGCCTGGAGTCCAGAATCTGGAAGAGTGGGAAAAGCAAGACAGGCATGAGAGAGGTGACAGCCAGAGGGATGACTTCTGTGCACCAGTAAATGGCCATGAGGATGATGACGTAGGCACACCTGACAAACTGAAGAGACAGTCCTGAGGCCTCAGCGTGTTGCCGCCTCCCTCTCCCCACCCCCAGAACACTCCGGACGGCGGCTGGCATGGATTGTCAAGACACAGTGCTGATCTCAGAGGGATTCCCCTCAAAGTCATCTTGTTCCCCAGCCCTGGTCAGCACAGCTTTCCCGGGTCAGGCCAGGGATCTATTCGCAAAGGACTCCTGCCCCATTCCCACCCCTCCTCCCTGCCTCCCTCCTTCCCAGCTGTGTGGTTCTAGGCACGTTCTTTCATCTTCTCAAACCTTGGATTAGCTGCCTCTCAAAAGAAAAGATCAAGAATAGGACAAGGAAGAAAAGGAGAAAGAAGGAGAAGGAGGAGAAGGAGGAGGAGGGGATAGAAGAAAGAGAGGAAGGGGGATGGAGAAGGAAGAAAAGAAAGGAGGAAGAGGAGAAGGAGAAGAAGAATAAAATACCTGGTTTTTTTGGTTTTATTATTATTTTATTTTTGAGATGGAGTGTCGCTCTTGCCGCCTAGGAGGCCATTGTTCTAAGAGAAGTGACTCAGCAATGGAAAGCCAAATAGTGCATGTTCTCCCTTATAAGTGGGAGCTAAGCTATGGGTATCCAGAGGTATATAGCGTGGTCGAATGGATACTGGAGACTTAGAAGCAGACAGGGTGGGATAGGAGGGAGGGATTAAAATCTCAGACTTCACCACTATCCAATTCATTCATGTAACCGAAAACTACGTGTACCCCTAAAGCTATTGAAATAAAAGTAATAATAATTATGTGATAAAACTAGCCACCTCCCTAGGTTGTTTTATGTTTCATCAGTATTTTTTGTGTGTGTGTGTGTGACAGAGTTTCGATCCTGTTGCCCAGGCTGGAGTGCAATGGCACAATCTCAGCTCACTGCAACCTCCACCTCCCGGGTTCAAGCGATTCTCCTGCCTCAACCTCCGGAGTTGGGATTGCAGGCACCTGCCACCACGCCCTGCTAATTTTTGTATTTTTAGTAGAGACGGGGTTTTGCCACATTGGCCAGGCTGATCTCGAACTCCTGACCTCATGATCCGCCCACCTCAGCACCCTAAAGTGCTGGGATTACAGGCGTGAGCCACCGCGCCCAACCTCAGAGTTCCTTCTTAGATGTCTCCCTGCGCCTCTTCTATAGTCTGGTTTGTGCCCTTCCTCTGAGTACCCTCCCCAGCCATTAGCATATGGAGTTGTCACTGTTTCCTCAACTGTCCTTCTACCACCACAACCAGTGCGTGACTCGAAAGCACAAACAGTACAGTGAGTCCTCACTTAACATCATTGATTGGTTTTTGGAAATTGCAATGCGTAAGCGAAACAACATAAGCCAATATTCCCATAGGCAAATTGCTAGAAACAACAGTTAAATTTCTACAGCATATTTCTGGTCACAAAAACATCACGGAGATCTTAAATAAAGACCAAAACACTTCCAATATTAAACACTGAAGGGAATGTGAGCTATACATATACTTAAGAAACATTGAAAACAAGTTAGATAATTATTTACCCAGTTACAGCAGGTCAGGGTCTTGGGTGACCAGATCCTGTCCCGGCAGCTCAGGGTACAAGGTGGAAACCAGCCCTGGACAAGATGCCATCCCATTGCAGAATGCACACTGACACGCACGCCCACGCTCACTCAGACAGGGACCATACAGACACTCCAATTCACCTAACGTGCACGGGTTTGGGATGTGGAAGGAAACCATACTAGCCAAAGAAAAGCCATGTGGACATGAGGGTAATGTGCACGCTCCACACAGACAGTGGCCCCAGCCAGTAATCATTTTCTTTTCTTTCTCTCTCGCTCTTTTATTTCTTTTTTTTTTTTTTTGAGACAGGGTCTGGCTCTGTTGCCCAGGTGGGAGTGAAGTGGCACGGTCACAGCTCACTGTAACCTCCATCTCCTGGGCTCAAGGGATCCTTCCTTTTTTTTCCCTCCCTCATCAACATTATAATGAAATGATATTGAATGAATCAACATTATTCAAGAACCTGCTGTATTTGTAGATCACCGTCCTCAGCATCCAGAACAGGCCCAACACTTAGGATATCTTTGCAAATTCTTGCTTATTTATTTATTTATTTATTTATTTACTTACTTACTTATTTTTGAGACAGAGCCTTGCTCTGTCCCCAGGCTGGAGTGCAGTGGTGCAATCTTGGCTCACTGCAGCCTCTACCTCCCAGGTTCAAGCGATTCTCCTGCCTCAGTCTCCTGAGTAGCTGGGACTACAGACAAGCGCCACCACGCCCGGCTAATTTTTGTATTTTTAGTAGAGAGGGGATTTCACCATGTTGGCCAGGATGGTCTTGATCTCCTGGCCTCGTGATCCACCTGTCTCGGCCTCCCAAAGTGCTGGGATTACAGGCATGAGCCACTGTGCCCGGCCATCTTTGCAAATGTTTATTAAAGGAATCAATAGCATTCATCTGAGTTTAACTCTGACAATGCTGCTGAAGAACAGATGCACCTGTACACAATCCCTGCTTCTCATCACCCAGAAGAGCGTATGTATTATTTGCACAAAACAGTGCAGGAAGACTTGGAAATTCTTTGTCAGGGTTGTGTTATCAGCCACAAAAAAATAAATCTTTTTTCAGCATCCCACGAGCAAACCAGGGCACCTCCCTACTGGGAGGCAGGGTCCCTCAGCCTCGGCACACTGACATTTTGGGCTAAATGATGCTTTGTTGTGGGAGCTGTGCACTGCAGGGTGTTTAGAGCACCGCTGGCCTCCACCTATGAGATGCCAGTAAGACTGTCTCCAGGTTGGACAGCAAAAAATGTCTCTGTACTTTGCCAAAGTTCCCCTGTTGTGGGGCAGGGTGAGGGCAGGAGAAAGGGTCAATGCTGGTTGACAGCCGCTGAACTAAAGGCGGAACAGCAGCGTGACTGGAAGCCCAGGCTTTGACACCAGACAGATATGATTGGCGCCCACTGTCAGCCACTGTCTGGCCTTTGGCAGCCACTAACTTCCTTGGGGCTTGGTGTCGGGGTGTACCCTGGGCAGGCCATCAGAATGATGCCTCCAGGGGCAGACAATGAGAGGGCGCATTGGAGAGAATTTTAAAACAATAATATTAGCTAAAAATTAGTTTGCTTCTTACTATCATCAAGTGATAGCAATTCTAAACAATGTCGCTCATAAATTACTCCTCCTGCTCCCAATCCTGGTCCCTGTCCCCTCTTGTTTCATGTCTTCATCTGCAAATCGTGGATTTAAGAGTGCTCATTCTTCCCATATGGCGCACAAAGTCCTCGGTAACTTTTGATTCTCTAAACTTAGAAGCAGTAGGTGGCGTGCGTCACCAATGTACACTGTGCGTTCCTGGAGGAGTCAAGCAGACCCACTAGGAAAGAGGACGAGACACAAGGTTAACTGCCCCCTCACCTCCGCGCCACTATTTAGAAGCCCAGGAGGTGCCTCATCCCTGAAGTCAACAGGCTTGACCCCCCTAGTCTAGAATGCCTCCACAGTGTCAAGGGAGAGGGCAGGATGGGAAGCGGATGTTAGAAAAGTTCAACATTAACAAGGCAGGGTGTCCTGACACACCACTTAATGAAAAAATGCAGGCAAAACCTACTGTGTGTGTGTGTGTGTGTGTGTGTCTGGGAAGAGAGAGAGAGATTCATCTGGAAAGATGTTCATCAAAATGTGAATAACTTATGGGATTTGAGTGTACTTTTATTTTTACTTTATATCTTACAGATTTGCAAAAAAGAAACCTTTTACATTTTAATAAAATAAGTGATACAAGAAATCTATCATTTATTTCATTAAATTTTTTTTCAATTAAAAAAAGACCCAGAGGAAGGATAGAGAGAGTGGAGCAGAGATGAGGCCAGGAGGGAATCCAGGTGGAGACAGGAAAACTGGAGACAGTCGGTGAGGAGAGAGGCCTGGGTGTTGGCAGAGGGTGGCGTGCCCTGGGAGTCACCTCCTGGCAAGGACTGTGTTGCTCAGGCTGCCAAGGTCCTCCCAGCTTCTCACCAGCTTCCCAGCTGCCCTGCCCGTGCTGTGTACCCTCTGGGTTTCCTTGCACAATGGGGCGGCCATGGAGGGTGGGGGCAGGGTGACCAAAACAGGCAGAAAGGGAAAAAACAAGAAGACAAGGTCCAGGGTCCTCACCCAACCCCGCCAGAAGGAAAGCTCGTGAAGGCAGCCTTTGGAAGGACTCTCCCTGGGTTCTCTTCTTCCCCTCCCTGGTCCTCACTCAAAGGACAGCTTAATCTCTCTCTCTCTCTCTCTTACACACACACACATACACACACATACACACACACTGAGTTAGGGTTTCCAGTTCAGGGTGTGTGTGTGTGTGTGTGTGTATGTGTATGTGTGTGTTTGTGTTTTTTGTGTGTTTTGTGTGTGTGTTTGTGTGTGTGTTTGTGTGTCTGTGTTTGTGTGTTTGGGTGTGTGTTTGTGCGTGTGTTTTTGTGTGTGTTTGTGTTTGTGCGTGTGTTTTGTGTGTGTCTGTGTGTTTGTGTGTGTGTCTGTGTGTGTTTGTGAGTGTGTGTGTGTGAGAGAGAGAGTGTGTATGTGTGTGTGTGTGAGTGGGGTCTCCTGTGGCAGGAAGGTCAGCCAAGCTACTATAATCATTCCAGGGAACATCACTCCCTACCAGCAGAGCTGAAATCGCAGCTCTCCTGCCTGGCTACTTCCCCTGGACAATAACAACCCCAGACTTCTTGCTACAGAGGAAGTGTGGCTGCCCACAGTTGGTGTGGCAACTGCACAGCCTCCACAGTTGGATCTGCTGTCCTTGACCCATCCAGGGCCTGTGCTAGGCCCACCCAAGGGCTCCTCCCAGTCTCCCCCTCCCCCATCCTAGGAACTAACGTTAATCCCTTTTGATTCCCAAAGCCTTAAAGTGTCAGAACCAAACCACCTAGCCCCATTGTACAGATGAGAACACCAAGGCCCAGAGAGCACAGGCACTTGGCTAAAGTCACACAGATGACAGAATGGTGGAAGTCCAGTTCTCTTGCAGGTTGGCTTCCTGACACCCCAGTGCACTCCCTTCCTCTAGAGCTCCCCCCCAGAGCATCCCCTGAAGAGCTCCTCTGTTTCCCAAACCTGCCTGGGGAGGGGAGGTGGGGAGCTGGAGGTTTCCTGTCTGGGCTGAGAGTGAAAGGGCTGAAAGAAGGAACGAGGAAGGAGCAGCCAGCAGCCACAAAAGGCTTCAAAGGGCTTGGGCCTCCGCCAAACTGGCTGTGCACAGCCCAGTGGAGCCTGCGCCCACCCTGCGGCCAAGGCCATTCATTCTCTCTCTCCCTCACAGAAGCATTAGGAGACTAGGGCCTGGGAGGAAGCTTCCCTGCAACTCCAGGTCCTGCCACCCAAGGCGCGAGCTCTGGGAATGTGTCCCGCCTCCTGCTACAGCCCCAGCAGGCAGGAGGCAAAGCAGGCCAACCCCAACCTGCCTGCAGCCTGGAGCAGGATTATGAATCAGATGTGGCTCTCCAGGTTGGAAGGAATGTGGATCATAGATAGAGACACTAAGGCCCAAGGAAGGGCCAGAGAGTGGCAAAGACAGCGCAGGATCCACGTGGGTGATGATTTTTTTCCTGTAGGTCCCTCCTGACGGCAGAAGCCACCTACAGCTTGAAGTCTTCTTTGGCGAAGGGAAAAGACAGGAGAGAGAGAGGGAAAGGCAAGCTCCCAGGTTCCCTGTTGGCGCAGGTGGCATTTTGGGGGGAAACAGGGTTATGCACTGTGGGAGATTCGATTCGGAGCCAGGGGCTGAGCCTAAGGCTGGGATCTGTGTGGCTGAGATCTGTGCTCACTTCGAGGTTTCCGTGCTTGCCTGGACGGCTCTTGCGCCCTGGGATCTGTAAACCCCAAGGGTGGTGCGCCCTGGGGTCGCCATGCCCCTCAGATTCTTTACAGGGCACCTCCCATCCGGCACCTGGAGCTCCTGAGTGCGCGCGCCCCGGGAGAGCTGTGCTCCCCGCGAAATCCGTGCGCTCCAGCTCAGGGCTCCCGGGATCGGTGCCCGTTAGTGGGCACAGGACGCCGGGTGTCCGAAGGGCTGCCTGGAGATGCAACTGACCTTGGCGGGCATCAGAATGACGAGTGGCAGCAGCAGGAGCGGGGTGACGAACAAGATCACGAAGGACTTGAACTTGGAGACATAGCTCAGCGCCGAGGCCATCGCGCGGGAGGGAGACTGGCGGGCGAGACGAGTGAGGGGCAGCTAGAGGCGCCGCGGGCTTAAGAAGGGGCCACAGTCCCCGGGGATTGGGGAGGGGGCGGTGACAACTCCGCCCCGCACGGGGGCGCCTCCCCGCGGCCCTGGGGCGGGGCCACCCCTCGGGGTCTGTGGGACGCGCCTGCCCCCAATTCTGCCACCCGGCGGCGGTGGGAGGCGTCTTTGGACTCCAACGCTTCGGGCCAGCCCTCTAGGGGCAGCCTGGGCCCTAGCATCTCGCGCTGTCCAAGCCTCTCCTGCGCTGCCGAGGCAGAGGTGCGTCCCGGGGCTGCCAAGCGGGGCGTGTTTTGGTCACTGGTGCTGCCCGCTTTGGCGTAAGGCGCCCTCCCGCGTCCGCATCTGCTCTTTCCTGGGCTCTGAAGGGTCCCGGATGAAACTCTCTGCAGGCCTCTGGGTCTCTCAGGTCTATCTCCCCGATCTCCCTCTCCTTTCCATCTCCTTACTTCCGCCCCTCCGGTGTCTCTCCGAGAGGTGTCCCCCCACGCCCCGCGCCCTCCGCACCGCGGGCCTCGCTTCCCGGTCCCCCCTGGCTTCCTCGCCACGTCCGCCCCACTCTAGGTGCAGGACCCCTTTTCCCCGCTCGCACTCTCCGGCCCGGAGCTCCTGGGCGATCGCACAGGGAAGCGAGGCCACTGTCCTCCTCTGTCCCAGGGGCTGTCGCGCTCCAGTGGACGCTGCACCCCGCAGACGCCCGGCGGGCAGATGCGGACACGCGTCTTGGAGGGGCCCCACCGAGCCTCAGCAGCCGCAGCTGCCCGCCCGACCCAGGTCAGAGGGAAACGGAGCTCTAGAGAGGAAGGGACACAACTAAGGCGACACTGAGACAGTCGCCCATGTATTCATTCAGCCCGCCAGGCAACAGACAGGTGCCGAGCACCTCTTCTCCGCGAGGCCCTGTTTTGGGCACTGGAGACACACGGATGCAAAGACATCCCCACCTCTGTGATTTTCTTCTTTCCTCTCCTCTGCCTGCCTCTCATTCTGCAGCTTCCTTTTGGGGAGTCTCATCCATGCTGGTGGCCTAACCACAGCCGGCTCCTTAGTGATTACCATCCTCTGCCTTCAACCCAGCCATGATGCCAGAGTCCCAGATGTCCAGCCTTCCGCAGACTGGACGTGTCTCGGCCCGAAAATTCAACACATCCTGAATCAAGCTCATGAGTTCCTTCCTGTGACCTGCACCCAAGGACATGCATTCTCCCAAGCCCCTCCTGCAATTGCCTCCCTCCTGTCCTTTTCCCTTTGTAACTCTCATGCATATAGCCCTGGGTTTTCCCGCCTTTCCTGTGTCCCCAGGGCACTTAGCACAATTTGTACCTCTTATATTTATTGGTGTAATTTTTACTTTTTACTTTTTTATTTTTTAAGTGTTATTTCATTTTTAATTGACAAATCATTGTCTATATTTACGGGGTACCATGTGATTTTTCAATGTGTGTATAATTGTGGTGTGTTCAAATCAGGCTAATGAGCATATTTATCACTCGAATATTTATCATTTCTCTTGTTTTTGTTTTTTGTTTGTTTGTTTGAGACAGAGTTGTGCTCCTGTCACCCAGGCTGGAGTGCAGTGGCACGATCTCGGCTCACTGCAACCTCTGCCACCTAGGTTCAAGCAAATCTCCTGCTTCAGCCTCCCAAGTAGCTGGGATTACAGGTGTGCACCACCACGCCCGGCTAATTTTTTGCATTTTTAGTAGAAATGGGGTTTCACCATGTTAGCCAGGCTGGTCTCGAACTCCTGACCTCAGGTGATCCGCCCACCTCGGTCTCCCAAAGTGCTGGGATTACAGGCGTGAGCCACCGCGTCTGGCCCAAATATTTGTCATTTCTTTGTGGTGAGAACATTTAAAATATCTTGTAGCTATTTTAAAATATATGACACATTATTATGATGTAATTTCTATTTACTGTCTGTTTTATTCATCACCACCTGTCCAGCTAGTGCCTTTCTCAGTGCCTAATCCAGGATGTGCACTCAAACCTTTTTCTCCGGGATGCATGAATGAGAGCAAGTAAACAACTTCAGTTCTTTTTTCTTTTCTTTTTTTTTAATTTTACTTTAAGTTCTGGGATACATGTGCAGAATGTGCAGGTTTGTTACATAGGTATACATGTGCCATGGTGGTTTGCTGCAGCTATCAACCGGACATTTAGGTTTTAAGACCCACATGCATTAGGTATTTGTCCTAATGCTCTCCCTCCCCTTGCCCTCCAACCCCCTGACAGGCCCCCGTGTGTGATGTTCCCCTCCCTGTGTCAATGCGTTCTCACTGTTCAACTCCCACTTATGACTGAGAACATGTGGTGTTTGGTTTTCTGTTCCTGTGTTAGTTTGCTGAGAATGATGGCTTCCAGCTTCATCCATGTCCCTGCAAAGGACATGACCTCATTATTTTTAATGGCTGCATAGTATTCCATGGTATGTATGTGCCACATTTTCTTTATCCAGTCTATCATTGATGGACATTTGGGTTGGTTTTAAGTCTTTGCTATTGTAAATAGTGTGCATGTGTCTTTATAGCAGCATGATTTATAATCCTTTGGGTATATACCCAGTAATAAAATTGCTGGGTCAAATGATATTTCTGGTTCTAGATCCTTGAGGAATCGCCACAGTGTCTTCCACAATGGTTGAACTAATTTACACTCCCACCAACAATGTAAAAGTACAACTTCTGTTCTTAATACAACTGCTTCCAAAGGGATTCACCAGAGCATGGACTCTGAGGCTAGAGTTCCTGGGCTTATATCTTGCCCTAGCTCATCCTGGCTGTGTGCCTCAGACAAGTTGCTCTCTATGAGCTTATCCTGTCATAAATGGAGATAATAGCACCAACTTTGATTTTAAATGGCTGTTTTGGAGATTATATGAGTTCATGGTCAGAGCTTAACTCAGTGCGTTGGCATATAGTCAGCTGTTAGTAAATATCCATTCTTGCAATTGTATGCAAAATACCCTGGTTGGTGAGGCCTTAAGAGAAGGATCCACCAACTCTGCCTAAGTAATGAAGGAAGGTTTCACAGAGGAGGTGGCAGAGCTTGCAGTGAGCCATGATCGCACCACTGCACTCCAGCCTGGGTGACAGAGCCAGACTCCGTCCCCCTGCAAAAAAAAAAAAAAAAAAAAAAACTTAATGGCTAAGTAATAATTTGCCAGGCAGCAGTGGAGGATAGTCAAAGTTAGCACCAAATGAAAAAGAATATTAAGATTGTTAAGAAAAATTCCAAGGCCAAAGTGCTACAACAACAACAAGCTAAATAAATGGAGAGATTATACCAAGTTCACGGATAGGGAGACCACACATTGTAGGACTATCCATTTCTCTCAAATTAACCTATAAATTCAATTCAATTCCAATTAAAATCCCAACAGGATTTTTAGTTAACAAGCCTAAAATTCAGGTAGAATAGCAGGTAAGCCAAGAATAATTACGACACTTCTGGAAAAACACGGGGGAAATTGCCATTTAGACTTCAAGAATGACTAACTTGTAATAGTTGATGTAATCATTAACTATTGACATGAGGTTAGAAAAAGAGTAGAATAGAGCCTAGAAATAGACCCATGGTTGCATGGAAACTTTATTTACAACAGAGATTGAGTGATCTATCCAAAGTGTACTCTCAGTTGCTGGATCAATTAGTTTTTAGCAATATAGACATTTTTCTTTCACTAAGTATGCTAAATACATGTAGGAGAAGTTTGAGCATAATTTCTAATAATAAGGTTATTTCTGATTTTTTTTTTTTTTTTTGAGATGGAGTCTCACTCTGTCACCCAGGCTGGAGTGCAGTGGCACAATCTCGGCTCACTGCAACCTCCGCCTCCCGGATTCAAGCAATTCTTCTGCCTCAGCCTCCCGAGTAGCTGGGACTACAGGTGCGTGCCACCACGCCTGGCTAATTTTTTTTTTTTTTTTTTTTGTATTTTTAGTAGAGATGGTGTTTCACCATATTGGCCAGGCTAATCTCGAATTCCTGACCTCATGATCTGCCCACCTCGGCCTCCCAAAGTGCTGGGATTACAGGCATGAGCCACCGCGCCCAACCTATTTCCGATTTTTTAATTTATGAGTCTTATTTAATTATTCCCAAGAGCTGAACATGAGTTCAATTTATGCACACAGATTTTTTTACGAAAGAAAAGCCCTGCCTGTTGTCATACTTCTACTTCACAGATAACTTAAAATTTTAGCCACATATTTCATTGCACTATAAAAAATGAAGTAATGAAAAAGAAAGTGCATCCGAATTTAGATCTTGTATTGGTAACTTACCATAAAATGCATAAAGTATATTAGATCACGATAATTTTGTCTTGATGTGGCTACTTTTAGTAACCTATTAAGGGAGGAGACCACCCCTCATATTGTCTTATGCCCAATTTCTGCCTCCAAAGAAAGAAGTAAAAACTAAAAGGCAGAAATGAAATCCACAGGCAGACATACCAGCGCCATGCCCTGGGCCTGGTAGTTAAAGATCCACCCCTGACCTAACCGGTTATGTTGTCTATAGATTCCAGGGATTGTAAAAATCCCTGTCCTGTTCTGTTTTGTTCTGATTACCGGTGCATGCAGCCCCCAGTCACATACCCCCTGCTTGCTCAATCGATCACGACCCTCTCACGCGCACCCCCTTAGAGCTGTGAGCCCTTAAGAGGGACAGGAATTGCTCACTCGGGGAGCTCGGCTCTTGAGACAGGAGTCTTGCCAATGCTCCTGGCCGAATAAACCCCTTCCTTCTTTAACTCGGTGTCTGAGGTGTTTTGTCTGCGGCTTGTCCGGCTACACTATTGTCAGATTGTCTTCTGAATTTCTCAGGTCTTACAACAGTATTTCTAAAAATATAAATCCAAACATTAGAATATACTTCTCGAACACAAAAATAAATTATTCCCTAACTTACAGTATGTTACTGATCTACATAAAACTATTTGGGAATATTTAGTTATAATGGTACATAGTATGTAACTGTGTGATGCAACTTTTTTCCCCACTTGAGAATCATTTAATACAATTTTAATCTTAAAACTGAGAGAGTAAAAACCTACTTTTTGGTATAGAAATTCTAAAATGTGGCGTGTTACATCCATTTGACCTCAGGTTCCCTTTGCAGTTATTGGAGAAATGGTAGATGGCAACCCTCTGTACTATTTTGTAACACCTGATGAGTGAAACTATTTCAAAATAAAAAGCAGTTTTAATTTGTGGCAAATAAAAAATATACCTCAGACTGATGAATTCAATTCTTTCCAGCTTTTTTATTTTTTATTTTTATTTTATTATTATTTATTTATTTATTTATTTTTGAGACAGAGTTTCGCTCTTTTGCCCAGGCTGGAGTGTAGTGGTGCGATCTTGGCTCACTGCAATCTCCGCCTTCCAGTTTCAAGCGATTCTCCTGCCTCAGCCTCCCGAGTAGCTGGGATTACAGGAACCTGCCACCACTCCCAGCTAATTTTTGTATTTTTAATAGAGATGGGCTTTCACCATGTTGGCCAGGCTGGTCTCGAACTCCTAATCTCGTGATCCGCCAGCCTTGGCCTCCTAAAGTGCTGGGATTGCATGCATGAGCCACCACACCTGGCCCCAGCTCACATTTTATGGCTGATATTGGTAGCTAAGAAAATTGTGATACTAGGCTAGGCACTGTGGCTCGTGCCTGTAATCCCAGCACTTTGGGAGGCCAAGGCAGGCGGATCGCTTGAGTTCAGGAGTTCGAGACCAGCCTGGGCATCATGATGAGACCCCCATCTCTACTAAAAATACAAAAACTTAACCAGGTGTGGTGGGAGGGTCGCTTCAGCCCAGTGGGTGGAGGTCGCAGTGAGCTGTGATGGCTCATTGTGATGAGATCGCGACATGCAGACAAGCCAAGAAGTGCAGCAGGTGACTAGGATTTTCTTAGATTTTGGATGCTTTCATTTGAATCTTACTTATTTAAACTCACTTAAGTAAGTAAGTTTATTTACACTTACTTGGGCATGGTATGTGAGTATTTCTATGGACAGAGCTGCTCCATTGGTCAATAGAGTAGGCTTATCAGGTTTTTTTCCCCACATTTTAACTTGGGAACACTGTTTTATTTGTAAACAAGCTTTGATTGCTAAAAAAGGCAGGTCCTGGATGTTGTCAATAGAAGAGAGTATTGGTCAGCGTTCCCTGGGGTAGACTTACAGCTACTATATTTATGGGGGTGCTGCAAGTCAGCTGGGAGCCTGTGGTTTGGCAACTCTGCTCCAGGCTGTAGGGAAATGGTGGGGGGGGGCTCCATAGTCTTCTCGTTCTGTACTGTGGAGGGGCTTCACCCAGATTGAGGAAGCAGAGGCTCTTGGGGACATGTTCTCATGACAGGAGCCAAGAATGCTGGTGGGAATTTGCAGTACCTCTAAAATCTTCTGCTCAGGGACAGCATGTTCACCTCTTTCACCTTCTACTAGCCAATGCAAGTCTCATGTCCAAGTCCAAAATCAATGGAGTGGGGGAAATATACTCTGTCTACAGGGAGGGGTGGCAAACGTGGGGAGAATTAATAATTGTGAACAAATAATATAATCTACCACCCACAGTAAATATTATTAAGTCCAGGGCAAGACACTTGTATCTCTCTCTTTAAAGTGTGTGAAAATGGTACCAACTTATGTGAGTTTGAAGAGCTCAGTTCTATGAGTTATATACATTCGAAGATGGTTGTCACAGGGATGATAACATACATATTCAAATTGGAAAATGAAATCAGACTCTTTTTTGGGGCAGGAATTAAGTCTGATTCAGATATTTAATTTGACAGTAAAGACTAACTTTGCCAATTAGGGTTTACAGAGGATGCTTCCCATAACCAGCTGAGCTAAATTTGTAGCTCCAAGGTTTTGATGAAAGTACATTTAAAACACATACTACCAGAAAATCATTTTTCTATTATGTTGGCGAAGGTGTGTTGAAGTTAACATTTTTATTACCCAAGATCTTTCTGACTATACTGGGTCTTAAAAGATGCTTCTCAAGAGGATCCGTTGAACCCAGGAGTTCAAGGGTACAGTGAGCTATGATCACGCCACTGCTCTTCAGCCTGGGAGACAGAGCAAGACCCTGTCTCTAAAAAAAAGAAACAAAAGGAATGTAGTGATAAATAAACACCAAATTTAGTTTAGCTTTAATCTGTGGGCAGGGGAGGGCATGCGATTAAAGAGTGACACTTCAGCTGTATCTGAAGTGTTTTATTATTTGTAACTGGCTATGATACAGAGATGTTTATCATATTATCCTTTATTATTTTAAAAATATTTTAAAGATGGCACAATAAATATTTCTAACATTTTAAAAGGTGCCCACATGCATTTAATACTAGAAATGTATTCATGAGGTGCAAGGTATAAGATAAAGAAAAAAAAGTATTTCCGACAAAATAAGGAGAGCTGATGTCCCGCATACTGAAAATGTAGTCCCCTCCTACACGATCCTTTTTTTCTGGAAGCAGAGGTTGTTACGTTAGAGAGAGAGAGCAGCCCAGGAAGAAAAGGCTGTACTGTGTGTTTTTCACTTAGGCAAATTTCTTTTTATCACTGTGTATATAAATGACATCTGAATTAAAATGCAAACTTTGATCTCTTTCCAAATTGATGCTGGGTCCAAAGTTGTGTGTCACTGTAGTACTAGTAGCCTTGAATCCACAGTTTCCTTTGGGCTGAGTGAGGTTTCACATTTTCCCCTTCACTCTATTCAGTTCCTTTTTTTTGCTGAATGGCATGCAAATCTTAAGTCCTTTTTCCCCCCTCCAGAGGCATTCAGCAATAGAAAAGATGAAAATATTTGTGTTGGGGGGATATCTTTCCATCAGTAAAATGTGCACTTTTTTTTTTTTTTGAGACCGAGTCTCCCTCTGTTGGCAGGCTGGAGTGCAGTGGCGCAATCTCTGCTCACTGCAACCTCCACCTCCCAGGTTCAAGCGATTCTCCTGCCTCAGCCTCCCGAGTAGCTGGAACTACAGGCTCCTGCCACCATGCCCAGCTAATTTTTGTAGTTTTACTAGAGACGGGCTTTCACCATATTGGCCAGGATGGTCTCGATCTCTTGACCTCATGATCCGCCCACCTGGACCTCCCAAAGTGCTGGGATTATAGGTGTGAACCACTGCCCCTGACAAATGTGTACATTTTTATGGCACATTGCATATCATTGTTAAAGATGCCATATAAAGTTTACCCTCTGAATTAAATTAGACGAAGATTTCTTTTTTAAAGAAAATTGTCAGAATCCCAAATAAGACATCTGTGTTGGGAATGGAAGGAGAGGATTAGTGTGAGATATTTCAGAAAAAGACTCTGTGGGACAAATTTTTCCTCTCTACTTGGAAGATTCTCAACAGTGTATACACATTTGGTAACATCTATCTCAACAAAACCCTCTCTTCCTCACACACTCGTCCCTCACCCATTTTTCTTGTGGCCTTGGTGGCAAAGCTCCTGGGAAGAGTTGTTTATACTCACTGTCTTCACTTTTTCTTCGCCCATTCTCCATTGAACCCATTCCAATCAGGATTGTGCAACTCCATTCAGACCAAGTGTCAAGGTCACCAGTCACCTCCAAATCACTGATCTAATGGCCACCTTTCAGTTTTTCTCTCTCTCCCCCTTGGCAGCGTCTGTTAATACTGAGCCCTGTCTCTTACAACACCTTCTCCACTTGCCTCTAGACACCACACTCCCTGGTTTTCCTCCCACCATCGCAGCGGCTTCTTCTCAGTCTTTTTTGCGAGTTGAGTTCTTCTGAAACTCCAAACATTGGAGTGTCCCAGGGCTCAGTTCCTCCCTGATTTCATCAAGTCTTATGGCTTTAAACTCCATCACATGTAGACAGCTCCCAAATGTACATCTCCAGGCCATCCCCAGCCTCTCTCCTAACTCCACATTTGCATCTCCGACAGCCTACTTGACAACTCTACTTGAATTTGTAATGGGCATCTCGCACTTAACATGTCCAAAATCACTCCAGAATACCATTCCCCAGCCCAAACTGCAATCTTTCCCATCTTAGTAAATAGAAAGTCCTTTTTTGTTTTTCCAATTGCTCAGGCCAAAAGCACTTGGACTGGGCCAGGAGCAGTGGTTCACACCTGTAATCCCAGCACTTTGGGAAGCCGAAGTGGGTGAATAACTTGAGGTCAAGACCAGCCTGGCCAACATGGCAAAACCCTGTCTCTACTAAAAAATACAAAAATTAGCCAGGCGTGGTGGCACGTGCCTGTAATCTCAACTACTTGGGAGGCTGAGGCAGGAGAATCGCTTGAACCCGGGAGGCAGGGGTTGCAGTGAGCCAAGATCATGCCACTGCACTCCAGCCTGGGTGACAGAGTAAGACTCCGTCTTCCCCCAAAGCACTTGGATTATTCTTGACTTTCTTTCACATCCAGGCTTCCAACCCAGTCCTCTGGGCTCTAACTTCTAAATATATCTATCATGCAATTATTCTCATCACCTCCATGGGAACTAACCTGATCTAGCCTCCATGCCTGGATTTCTAACTGATCTCCCTGCCTTCACACTTACCTCTTTTCAGTCTATTCTCAGAACAGCCCCCAGAGACAACCTTTTAAATGATCAT
Source organism: Homo sapiens (assembly GCF_000001405.40). Taxonomy (NCBI): domain Eukaryota; kingdom Metazoa; phylum Chordata; class Mammalia; order Primates; family Hominidae; genus Homo; species Homo sapiens. The sequence continues at coordinate 6,722,993 of NC_000017.11, forward strand.
TCCAATCATGTCACTTCTCTGCTCAAAACCCTCCACCGACTTTCCACCTCACTCACCGTAAACCCGAGGCCTTCAAAATGGTCATGTGTGTATTAGTCCATTTTCGCATTGCTATAAAGAGATACCCGAGACTGGGTAATTTATCAAGAAACGAGGTTTAATTGGCTCACAGTTCTGCAGGCTGTACAGGAAGCATGATGCTGGAATCTGCTTGGCTTCTGAGGAGGCCTCAGAAAAATTTCATACATGGTGAAAGGCAAAGCGGGAGCAAGCATCTTCACATGGCTGGAACAAGAGGAAGAGAGAGCGCAGGGGGAGGCACTACACACGGTTTTTGTTTCTTTGTTTTTGGTTTTTTAGATGGAGTCTCACTCTGTCACCCAGGCTGAAGTGCAATGGCACGATTTCGGCTCACTGCAACCTCCGCCTCCCGGGTTCAAGCGATTCTCCTGCCTCAGCCTCCTGAGTAGCTGGGATTACAGGTGCCTGCCACCATGCCCAGCAAATTTTTTTGTATTTTTAGTAGAGACGGGGTTTTGCTATGTTGGCCAGGCTGGACTCAAACTCCTGACCTCGTGGTTCGCCCACCTCGGCCTCCCAAACTGCTGAGATTACAGGTGTGAGCCGCCATGCCTGACCGATGCTACACACTTCTTTTTTTTTTTTTTTTTTTTTTTTGAGACAGAGTCTCACTCTGTCGCCCAGGCTAGAGTGCAGTGGCGCAATCTCGGCTCACTTCCAGCTCCGCCTCCCGGGTTCACGCCATTCTTCTGCCTCAGCCTCCTGAGCAGCTGGGACTACAGGCGCCTCCCACCATGCCCAGCTAATTTTTTGTATTTTTATTAGAAACGGGGTTTCGCCGTGTTAGCCAGGATGGTCTCGATCTTCTGACCTTGTGATCCGCCTGCCTCGGCCTCCCAAAGTGCTGGGATTACAGGCGTGAGCCACTGTGCCTCGGCTACACACTTTTAAACAACCAGAGCTCGTGAAAACTCTATCATGAGGCAGCACCAAGGAGATGGTGCTGAGCCATTCATGAAAGATCCACCCCACGACCTAGTCACCTCCCATCGGGCCCCACCTCCAACACTGTGGTTACAATTCAACATGAGTTCTGGGGTGGGGACACAAATCCAAACCATATTAATGTGATCTGGCTTCCTGCTACCTCTGTCCTCTCCTCCTACCTCTCCCTGCCTCACTCACTCTACCTGAACTGCTCCTCCTTGCTCATCCTGGAGCACGCCATGCCTGCTCCCACCTCAGGACCTTTGCAAATGCTGTCCCTTCATCCTGCAATGCTGTCCTCACAGATATCCACACCGCTGGCTCCCTTACTTCTTTCAGATCTCTAAATAGTCTCATCTTATAAGAAAACCTTTTCTGGGCTGGGCACGGTGGCTCACACCTGTAATCTCAGCACTTTGGAAGGCCAAGGCTGGTGGATCACTTGAAGTCAGGAGTTTGAGACCAGCCTGCCCAACATGGTGAAACCCCATCTCTACTAAAAATACAAAAAATTAGCCGGGGATGGTGGTATGCACCTGTAATCCCAGCTACTTGGGAGGCTGAGGCAGGAGAATCGCTTGAACCTGGGAGGCGGAGGTTGCAGTGAGCTGAGATCACTCCACTGCACTCCAGCCTAGTGACAGAGCAAGACTCCATCTCAAAAAAAAAAAAAAAACCCTTTCCTTACACTTTATACAAAAATTAATTCAAGATGGATTAAAGACTTCAATGTTAGACCTAAAACCATAAAAAACCCCAGAAGAAAACCTAGGCAATACCATTCAGGACTTAGGCATGGGCAAGGACTTCATGACTAAAACACCAAAAGCAATGGCAACAAAAGCCAAAATAGACAAATGGGATCTAATTAAACTAAAGAGCTTCTGCACAGCAAAAGAAACTACCATCAGAGTGAATAGGCAACTTACAGAATGGGAGAAAACCTTTGCAATCTACCCATCTGACAAAGGGCTAATATCCAGAATCTATAAGAACTCAAACAAATTTACAAGAAAAAAACAACCCCATCAAAAAGTGGGCGAAGGATATGAACAGACACTTCTCAAAAGAAGACATTTATGCAGCCAACAGACAATGAAAAAATGCTCGTCATCACTGGTCATCAGAGAAATGCAAATCAAAACCACAATGAGATACCAATGAGACACCAGATAGAATGGTGATCATTAAAAAGTCAGGAAACAACAGATGCTGGAGAGGATGTGGAGAAATAGGAATGCTTTTACACTGTTGGTGGGACTGTAAACTAGTTCAACCATTGTGGAAGGCAGTGTGGCGATTCCTCAAGGATCTAGAACTAGAAATACTATTTGACCCAGCCATCCCATTACTGGGTATATACTCAAAGGATTATAAATCATGCTACTATAAAGACACATGCACACATATGTTTATTGTGGCACTATTCACAATAGCAAAGACTTGGAACCAACCCAAGTGTCCATCAATGGTAGACTGGATTAAGAAAATGTGGCACATATACACCATGGAATACTATGAAGCCATAAAAAAAGGATGAGCTCATGTCCTTTGCAGGGACATGGATGAAGCTGGAAACCATCATTCTGAGCAAAATATCACAAGGACAGAAAACCAAACACCGCATGTTCTCACTCATAGGTGGGAATTGGACAATGAGAACACTTGGACACAGGGCGGGGAACCTCACACCCCAGGGCCTGTCGTGGGGTGGGGGGCAGGCGGAGGGATAGCATTAGGAGAAGTAACTAATGTAAATGACGAGTTAATGGGTGCAGCAAACCAACATGGCACGTGTATACATATGTAACAAACCCGCACATTGTGCACATGTACCCTAGAACTTAAAGTATAATAATTAAAAAAACAGAGGAAACCTTTTCTGCTCATCCCACACAAGTAGCAATCTCAAGCATAATTCACAACTGCCTTCCATGCTTTGTTTATTTTCACCACCTGATAGAGCCAAACTATTTTGTTTGAATCTTCTCTCCCCTAATAGAAGATAAGCTCTATTAGAGCAGAGACCGTCTGTTCTGTTCAATGCCATAGCACCCATCACCTGGAATTTTCTCTTCCATGGTAGGTGCTCAACAAACACTTGTTGAAGAAATGAAGGTGGGAAGAAGAGGGACAAGCTGGTGTGACTTCCAGGTTTCTGGCTTGGGTGGTGGGAGGCTGGTGATGTCATTTACTAAGATAGGGATATATCAGAGGAATGGAGGTGAGTGGAGGTGGGGAGGGCAAGCTGGTGAAGTTTTATTTTTGCCTGGTTGGATTGGAGTCACCTGCTGTCTGGAAGGCAGATAAGTAATTTAGATTTCACGAGAGTGGTCCTGCTGGAAATGGAGAGTTGGAAGTCATCTGACAATGATTTCCCCAGAGAGAAGATTTTACCCTGAAAAAAAGGAAAGGGCTCTGCCAGAACCCTGGGAGACACCTACCTTTAGCAAATGGAAGGAGGAAAAGATGCTGATGGAGAGGACAAAAAAGGTGCGCCAATGGAAGAAGGAGGAAAACAAAGGCAGAGGAAACCAATGGAAATCAAGGATTGGAAGGGATTCAGGAAAGAGAACCAATGGAAATCAAGGATTCAAAGGGATTCAGGAAGGAGAACCAATGGAAATCAAGGATTCAAAGGGATTCAGGGAGGAGGGAGGGGCCTACAGTGCTGACTGTTGAGTGCATGAGGACTGGGCAACAAGGTCATTGCAGATGGAGTGGAGTTCAGTAACAGTGGAGGCAAAAGCCAGGTTGAAGCAGAGTAGGGAGAGAATGGGAAGCGATGCAAAGCAACACCAGCAAGATTAGATGGCTCCTTCCAGAAGTTTGACTGTGAGGAGAAAAGAAAAGCGAGGTGTACTTGAAAGGACTAAAGGGTCAAAGGAGATTTTCTGTTTGTTTATTTGCTTTTTTAATGGGAGAGACATGCACAAATTTATATGTGGGGGTGAGAGGAGAGAAGAGGCTTTAGGAAGTAAAGAAAAAGAAAGAAGAAGTAGGAATGGGAATGCTATGAAAGAAAGCTATGGAGGGCTGAATAGAATTGCCTTTGATGGGAAGAAGGAGCTTGGGTAGGGATGAGTGAGAATGCACAGGTGCAGGTATCAGGGAAGATAGAGCTATATCAGTAAATAAAGCCAAAATGAAAGCAGAAAAAGCTATGCGTGTTACCACAAAGCTAGTGATGGGAAACTGGGACCTCTGCTGATGTTATACTCAGATAATCCCAAAGCCTCCAGGACTGGGCTGGCCAACAGAAAGAAGAAGGAAGCCCAGACTCCACCTTCCCTCTTTCTTAGAAATCTCTTGCAATGCATCTGATTGTCAAAATGCGAATCACAGCTGAAGCCCTAGCTGCAAAGAAAACTGCAATGTAGGAAAGTACACAGGAGGAGGGTAGAGTGGATGTTGAGTCCCAGTGTTCCATATCCAGCCGTCCATGTTTTATATATATATACACACACATACATATATATATATATATACAAATATATATTATAATGCATTTTTACATAAAATATAAAATTATAAAACAATGTATAAAATATATAAATATAAAATTCTAATAATATATTTTAAATTTAAATATATGAAGATATTTTTACATGTACAATTATTATGCATTATATGTTATATATATACACATATTTTTTTTTTTGAGAGACAAGGTCTCACTCTGTCACCCAGGCTGTAGTACTGTAATGTGGTCATAGCTCACTGCAGCCTTGAACTCCTGGGCTCAAGCAATCCTCTCATCTTGGCCTCCCAAAGTGCTGAGATTGCAGGTGTGAGCCACCATGTCAGGTCTATATTTATTTTTTATATGTAAATGTAATGTATTTAGACATATATCATCTTTACTGAGATATAATTCACATCTCATACAATTTACCCATTTAAAGTATACAATCAATGGTTTTTAGTGTATTGACAGAATTGTGCAACCATCATCATGATCAATCTTAGAACATTTTTATCACCCCAAAAAGAAATCCTGGAGGTGGAGCAAGATGGCCAGATAGAAGCCTCCACCAATTGTCCTCCCTCCTGCTGCCTTCTGGACAGCAGGCGACTCCAATTCAACCAGTCAAAAATGATATAGGTTCTGCTATATCATTTTGAGTTCTGGTTTCTACCTCCACGGCTACTGAACTCCACTCCATCTGCAATGACCTTGTTGCTCTGTCCTCATGCTCTTGACAGGAGGTGGTGCAAGATGGCCGAATAGAAGCCTCAACTGTCTACACACAAAAAAGCACCATTGTAAGAACCAAAAATCAGGTGAGTGATCACAGAACTTGGTTTTAACTTTATATCGCTGAAAGAGGCACTGCAGAGGGTAGGAAAGACAGTCTCAAGTTGTTGCCATCCCTTCCCCATCCCTGGCAGTGGTCATGTGGTACAGAGAATTTGTGCATTTCAGAGAGGGAGAGTAGAGTGATTGTGGGACTTTGCATCGGAACTCGGTGCTGCCTTATCACAGCAGAAAGCAACACTGGGCAGAACTCAGCCAACGCCCACAGAGGAGCATTTAGACCACCCCTAGCCAAAGGGGAATCATCCATCCTGGCGGCTGGAAGCTGAGTTCTGGCGAGCCTCACCACTGCAGGCTGAAGTGCTCTGGGGTCCCAAATAAACTTGAAAGTCAGTCTAGGCCACAAGGACTGCAACTCCTAGGCAAGTTCTGGTGCTATGCTAGGCTCAGAGTCAGTGTCTTACTAGGGCATGAACCTTGTGAGATACCAGCCAGGGTGGCCAAGGGAGTGCTTGTGCTACTCTTCCTCCAACCCCAGGCAGTGCAGCTCATAACTCCAAGAGAGACTCCTTCCTTCTGTTTGAGAAGAGGAGAAAGAAGAGTAAAGAGGGCTTTGTCTTGAATACCAGCTCAGCTACAGTAGGATAGGGCACTGGGCAGAGTCCTGAGGCCTGATGCCAGGCCCTAGGTCCTGGATGACATTTCTAGACATGCCTTGGGCCAGAAGAGAACCCACTGCCTCGAAGGGAAGGACCCAATCCTGGCAGAATTCGTCATCTGCTGACTAAAGAGCACTTGAGCCCTGAATAATTAACAGTGGTAGCCAGGTAGTACACACCATGGGCCTTGGATGAGACTGTAAGATGTGCTGGCTTCTGGTGTGACACAGCACATTACCAGCTATAGTGGCTATGGAGAGAGATCCCTTCTGCTTTTCTAAAGCAGAGTAAAATGGACTTTGTCTTACAGCATAGGTACCACCTCAGCCATGGTAGAGTAGAGCACCAAGCAGGCACTTATGGTTCCTGATCCCAGGCTACGCCCTTAGATGGCATTTCTGGACCTGCCCTGGGCCAGAAGGGAGCCCACCGCCCTGAAGAGTGAGACCCAGGCCTGGTAGCATTCACCACAAGCAGGCTGAAGAGCCCTTGGGCCTTGAGTGAACATTGGTGGTATCCTAGCAGTACCCCACCTTTGACCCTGTGGGCCTGTGGTGGTGGTGGCCATGGGGAGAGACTCCTCTGCTTGTGGAAAGGGAAAGAAAGAGTGGGGAAGATTTTGACATGGGGCTTGGGTGTCAGTTCAGCAGCAGTACAACACCAGGCAAATTCCTAAAATTTCTGACTCCAGGTACTGGCTTCTAGATAGCATCTCTGGACCTCCCCAGGGCTGGGAGAACTTGCTGTCCTGAAAGGAAAGACATGAGTCTGGCTAGCTTTACTACTTACTAATTGCACGGCTCTAGGGCCTTGAGCGAACATAGGTGGTATCCAGATAGTGGTCACAGTGGGCCTTGACGAGACCCAGGGCTAGGCTGGCTTCAGGTCTAACCAAGTGCAATTCCAGTGGCGGAGACAACAGAGGTGCTTGTGTCACTCCTGCCCCAGCTGCAGGCAGATCAGCAAAGAGAGATAAGCTCTTTATTTGGGAAAAAGTAAGGGAAGAGAGCAAGAGCCTCTGCCTAGTAACCCAGAGAATTCTTTCAGATCTCATCAAAGACCACAAGGCAGATCAATTCTGCTATTAAGAGAGTCTGATGCTTTCTTGAGTATGACAGATACATTTTTCAACTCCAGAATTTCTGCTTGATTCTTTTTAATTGTTTAAATCTCTTTGTTAGATGTATCTGATAAAATTCTAAATTCCTTCTTTGTGTTATCTTAAATTTCATTGAGTTTCCTCAAAACAGCTATTTTGGGGCACATGTTCTCAGGACCTCCTGAAGGCTGTGTCATGGAAAAAAAAACCCCAGCTATTTTGAATTATCTGTCTGAAAGGTCACATATTTCTGTATCTCTGGGATTGGCCCCTGGTTCCTTATTTAGTTCATTTGGTGAGGTCACATTTTCCCAGATGTTCTTGATGCTTATAAACGTTCATTGGTGTCTCGGCATTGAAGAATTAGGTATTTATTGTAGCCTTTGCAGTCAGAGCTTGTTTGTACCCATACTTCTTGGGTAGGCTTTCCAAGAATTTGGAGGGACTTGGGTTTTCTGATCTAAAATTTTGGTCACCGCAACTGTATCTGCACTTGAGGCATCCCAAGCCCAGTAACACTGTGGCTTTTGCAGGATTGGCCAAGCAGAAGAAAAAATCAGTGAGTTTGAAGACAGGCTATCTGAAAATTCATAGTTGAAGGAGTCAACAGACAAAAGAATGAAGCACACCTACAAGAATTAGAAAATAGGCTCAAAAGGGCAAATCTATGAGTTATTGGTGTTAAAGAGGAGGTAGAGGTAGAAAGTTTATTCAAAAGGATAATAACAGAGAACTTCCCAAACATAGAGAAAGATATCAATATTCAAGTACAGTAAGGTTATAGAAAAACCAAGCAGATTTAACCCACAAAAAAGACTACCTCTAGGCATTTAATAGTCAAACTCCCAAAGGTCAAGGGTAAAGAAAGGATCCTAAAAACAGCAAGAGAAAAAACACAAATAACATACAATGGAGCCGCAATACATCTGGCAGCAGACTTTTCAGTGGGAACCTTGCAGACCAGAAGAGAGTGGCATAGCATATTTAATGTGCTGAAGGAAAAAACTTTTACCCTAGAATAGTATATCTAGTGAACATATCCTTCAAGCATGAAAGACAAATGGAGACTTTCCCAGACAAATAAAAACAGAGAGATTTCATTAACATCAGAGCTGTCTGAAGGAAATAAATGCTAAAGAGAGTTCTTCAATCCGAAAGAAAAGGACGTTAATGAGCCATAAGAAATCATCTGAAAGTACAGAACTCACTGGTAACATTAAATACACAGAAAAACACAGAATATTATAACACTGTAATTGTGGTGTTGAAACTATTCATATCTTAAGTAGAAAGACTAAAAGATGAACTAATCAAAAATAATAACTACAACAACTCTTTAAAGACATAGTAGAATAAGATATAAATAGAAGCAACAAAAAGTTAAATAGTGGAGGATGAAGTTAAAGTGTAGAGTTTTTATTAGTTTTCTCTTTGCTTGCTTGTTTGTTTATGCAATCAGCATTAATTTGACATCAGTTTAAAATAATGGGTTATAATGTATTATTTGCAAGCCTCATGGTAACTTCAAACCAAAAACCAACAGATACACAAAAATTAAAAATGAGAAACTAAAACATACCACCAGAGAAAATGACCTTCACCAAAAAGAACACAGGAAGGAAGAAAAGACCACAAAGCAACCAGAAAACAAATAACAACATGGCAGGAGTAAGTCCTTACTTATCAATAATAACGTTGAATGTAAATGGACGGAACTCTCCAATCAAAAGACGTAGAGTGGCTGAATGGGTGAAAAAACAAGACCCAATAATTTGTTGCCCACAAGAAACACACTTCACCTAAAAAGACACACATAGACTGAAAATAAAGGGGTGGAAAAAGATATTCCTTACCAATGGAAACCAAAAAAGAGAAGGAGTAGCTATAACTATATCAAAATTATATTTTAAGACAAAAGCTGTAAAAAGAGACAAAGAAGGCCATTACATAACAATAAAGAGGTTAATTCAGCAAGAAAATATAATGATTATAAAAATATATGCACCCAACACTGGAGCACCCAGATGTATAAAGAAGGTATTATTAGAACTAAAGAGAGAGATAGACTCAATAAAATAACTACTGGATACTTCAGTACCCTACTTCCAGCAGCGGACAGATCATCCAAACAGAAAATCAATAAAAAAAAATTGGACTTAATCTGCACTATAGACCAAATGGACCTAACAGATATTTATAGAATATTTCATCCAATGGCTACAGAATATGTATTCTTCTCCTTGGCACTGTTCTCAAGGAGAGATATGTTAGCCTACAAAAAAAGCTTTAAAACACTCCAAAGGATTGAAATAATATGAAGTATCTTCTCCGACCACAATAAAATATAACTAGAAATCAATAACAAGAGAAATTTTGGAAATTATAAAAACACATGGAAATTAAACAATATGCTTCTGAATGACCTGTGTACCAATTAAGAGATTAAGAAGAAAATTGAAAAATTTCTTGAAAAAATAACAGGAACAATATGCCAAAACCTGTGGGATACAGTGAAAGCAGTACTAGGAGGAAAGTGTGTAGCTATAATAAGCACTTACGTCAAAAAAGTAGAAAAACTTCAAATAAACAATCTAATGACACCTCTTAAAAAACTAGAAAAGCAAGAGCAAACCAAATCCTAAATTTGTAGAAAAAAGAAATAATAAACATCGGAGCAGAAATAACTGAAGTTGAAATGAAGAAAACACTACAGAAGATCAATGAAATGAAAAGTTGGTTTTTTTGAAAAGATAAACAAAGTTGACAAAGCTTCAGCCACACTAACTGAGAAAAAAAAATACAGAAGACCCAAATGAATAAAATCAGAGATAATAAAAGGAGTCACCAAAACCAATGCTGCAGAAATCCAAAGGATCATTAGTGGCTATAATGAGAAATTGTATGCCAACAAATTGGAAAATCAATTAATAGAAGAAACTGATAAAAGAGCATGGTGGTGCAGGATATGGGGTCAGTATAAATACCAACGCATAGTCCCTTTGCAAGAGTGAGGGCCCAAGTTAAGGTAATGAGTTCGGCTTGCTGAGAGGTAGTGGAGATGGGGCACAGCGGTAGCCTCAATGATAGATGTGGAAGATACTATAGCATAGCCTGCCTTTGCTGGTGTTTGGCGATTAGGCCTGGTGGAACTGCCATCAATAAACCAAGTGTGATCAGGGTGAGGAACAGGAAAGAAGGAAACATGGGGAAATGAAGTGAATGCCAAGTGTATCAGAGAGATACAGTCATGGGGGCCAGGTGTGGTATCAGGAATAATGTGGGAGGCCGGATTGAAGTCCAGGCCAGGAACAATGGTAATTGTGGGAGACTCAACAAAGAGTGAGTACAGCTGAAGGAGCCAGGGAGCAGAAAGTGTATGTGTCAGGTGTGAGGAAGAAAATAGATTTTGGAAGTTATGAGAACTGTATAGAGTGAGTTGAGCAAAGTTTGTGATTTTGAGGGCCTCTGGAAGTATTAGGGCAGCAGCAGCCACCGCATGCAGACATGAGGGCTAGGCTAAAACAGTAAGGTCAAGTTGTTTGGACAGAAAGGCTACAGGGTGCGGTCCTGGCTTTTGTGTAAGAACTCCGATTGCACAGCCCTGCACTTTGGCTGTGTGTAATGAAAAAGGTTTGGAATGAGTTAGGGAGAGCTAGTGTGGGGGCAGCTTCTAGGGCTGTTTTTAAGGAACGGAAAGGAGTGGCAAAGGGATTTAGGATCTATGGGGTCAGCTGGGTTTGGTTTTGTGAGTTTACATAATGGTTTAGTCAGGATGGTAAAGCTAGGTATCCAAAGGCGGAAGTACCTAACCATGCGTAGGAAGGAGAGGAGTTGTTTTGTAGAAGGGATTGGGGTTTGGGGAATTAGCTGGACATGATCAGCAGGCAGAGCATGTGTGTTTTCGTGAACAATTATGCTGAGATAGGTAACAGATGAGGAAGAAATTTGGGCTTAACTGAAGTCATGGGGGCTGTCCGTGAAGCCTTGCAGCAGTACAGCCTAGGTAATTTGTTGAGCCTGATGGGTGTCAGGGTCAGTCCAAGTGAAAGCGAAGAGAGGCTGGGATGAAGGGTGCAAAGGAATAGTAAAGAAAGCATGTTTGAGATCCAGAACAGAATAATGGGTTATGGAGGGGTTGTGGAGGGAGGTATTGAGGATAGGAGAGTATATGGCTTTGGCATCACGGGGTGGATAGGCCAGACAATTTGGTTGGTAAGGCCAGATCCTGAACTAACCTGTAAGGCTTGTCCAGTTTTTGGACAGGTAAAACAGGGGAATTGTAAGGAGAGTTTACAGGCTTTAAAAGCCCAAGCTGTAACAGGCGAGTGATAACAGGCTTTAATCCTTTTAAAGCATGCTGTGGGATGGGATATTGGCATTGAGCAGGGTAAGGGTGATTAGGTTTTAATGGGATGGTAAGAGGTGCATGATCAGTCGCCAAGGAGGGGGTAGAGGTGTCCTATACTTGTGGATTAAGGTGGGGGTATATGAGAGGAGGATGCGAAGGAGGCTTTGAACTGGGGAAAAAGCAGCAATGAGGTGTGGCTGTAGCCCAGGAATAGTCAGGAAAGTAGATAATTTAGTTAAAATGTCTCGACCTAATAAGGGAGCTCTAGGCAGGTGGGGATAACTAAAAAAGAGTGCATAAAAGAATGTCCATGTTGGCACCAGAGTTGGGGAGTTTTAAGAGGTTTAGAAGCCTGGCCGTCAATACCCACAACAGTTATGGAGGCAAGGGAAATACACCCTTGAAAAGAAGGTAATGTGGAGTGGGTAGCCTCCGTATTGCTTAAGAAGGGGACGGACTTACCCTCCACTGTAAGAGTTACCCAAAGCATCCGCGATGGTCCAGGAGGCTTCTGAGGCGATCGGGCAGTGTCAGTCTTCAGCTGCTAAGCCGAGAAGATATGGGAAGGAGTCAGTCAGAGCCTCGGGCCAGTTGGACAGTCCAGTTTCCAGTGGGGACTCACATAGATGGGACACAGCTTAGGAGGAATCCCAGGCTGCGGGCATTCCTTGGCCCAGTGGCCAGATTTCTGGCACTTGTAGCAAGCTCCTGAGGGAGGAGGTTCTAGAGGAACCCCTGGCAGCTGCGGTTCAGGTGTTTGGAGTTCTTGTGTGCTGGAGATGTGGCTGGGGTTTGTCTCACAGCGGAGGCAAGGAATTGCAACTCAGAAATACATTGCTACTTGGCTGCCTCTACTCTATTATTGTACACCTAATTAAGTCCTGTTGTGGGGTTTGAGGGCTGGAATTTAATTTTTGGAGCTTTATTTAATGTTGGGAACAGATTGGGTAATAAAATAAAATGCATATTGAGAATAAGACAGCCTTCTGACCTTTCAGGATCTGGGGCTGTAAAGAGTCTAAGGGTTGCTCCTAAGCAGGCCATGAACTGGGCTGGGTTTTCGTCTTTACCTTGAGTAGTTCCTTTAAGTTTGTCTTAATTAACAGCTTTGTAAGCTGCCTTTTTAAGCCCTTCAACTAGGCAGGAAACCATGTAATCTCGCCTAGCTATACCTGGGGAATTTGCCTGATAGTTCCATTGGGATCTTCTCGGGGAACTGCTCTAATGCCTTCATGGAGGTCTGGCTCATGAAGCTGGCAGTTATCAGTGTGAAATTGGGCTAGAGAAAAAACTCTTTCCCGTTCATTTGGGGAGAGGGTAGAAGTTAGGATGACATTTAAGTCATTCCAGGTTAAACTGTAAGACAGATTTAGATATCGGAATTCCAGTATATATTTAGTGGGGTCTGATGAGAAAGAGCCTAAACGCTGGCTGATTTGGGAAAGGTCTGATCGAGAAAAAGGCACATGTACCCTGACTATGCCTTCAGCTCCAGCCACCTCTCTAAGAGGAAATTGTTGGGCAGGTGGGGAGGGCTAGTCGTGGGAACAAAATTGGAAGCCAGACCGGTGTGAGGAGGGGAGGTGATTGAAGGATTTTAGGGTTGGGGAGCAGAGGCTGAGGAAGAATTGGGACCTGGCTTGGCCTGGCAAGGAGCAGCCTGGGGAGAAGGGGAGAGGTCAGATGAGTCCATAGAAAAGAAGGATTCAAAGGACTCATATCTTGGGGTGGAGACTGAAGGAACAGACAGGAGAGAAAGAAGAAAGATTTGGGACAAGTCTCATTGGGAGCAGAGACTAGGGAGGGACCGATGTGTAAAAGAATGCCTGGACGTCAGGCACCTCACACCTTTTGCCCATTTTTGACGAAAATTATCTAGATCTTGTAAAATGGAGAAATCAAAAGTGCCGATTTCTGGCTATTTAGAACCATTATTGAGTTTGTATTGGGGTCAAGCGGTATTGCAGAAGAAAATAAGACACTTAGATTTTAGGTCAGGCAAGAGTTGAAGAGGTTTTAAGTTCTTGAGAACACAGGCTAAGGGAGAAGAAGGAGGAATGGAGGGTGGAAGTTTGCCCATAGTGAAGGAGGCAAGTGTAAAGAGAAGGGTAGAGACACAGAGAAGGCGGGTGGGGAGCAGCCCTGGGCTGCAACGTGGGTGAGCAGCCAAAGCAGGCGTCCCCGCAATTGACTTGCCACCAAGGGAATGTGGGTGAATGACCAAGGCAGGTGTCCCTGCGGAGATCAGACACCAATGGAATGTGGGTGAATAATCAGAGAGGCGTCCCCGCAATGATTAAACACCAGGGGAAGGCTGCCTTCCCGAGTCCGTGACCAGCGCCGGAGTTTTGGTTCCACAGATAAAATGTGTCTCCTTTGTCTCTACCAGAAAATGAAAGGAATTGAAATTAAGAGAAGGGAGAGATTGAAGCATGGCACCAAGATTGAAAGGAGAAAGAGGTTGAGGGATAGTGAGAGAGGTTGGAGAAGAGAGTAAAAAGAGGCCACTTACCCGATTTAAAATCGGCGAGATGTTCCTTGGGCTGGTTGGTCTGAGGACTTGAGGTCATAGGTGGATCTCTTCACGGAGTGAGGGTGAAGACAGGGGACTGGTCTCCTGAAGGAGTCCCACTGACCCGGATCTTCGGCACCAAATGTTTCACGTGTCCATGTGAAGAGAGGACCAAACGGGCTTTGTGTGAGCAGCAAGGCTGTTTATTTCACCTGGGTGCAGGCAGACTGAGTCCAAAAAAGGAGTCAGCAAAGGATGGTGGGATTATCATTAGTTCTTATGGGTTCTGGGATAGGCAGTGGAGTTAAGAGCAATATTTTGGGGACAGGGCGCGGATCTCACAAAGTACATTCTCAAGGGTGGGGGGAATTACAAAGAAACTTCTTAAGGGTGGGGGAGATTATAAAGTACATTGATCAGTTAGGTTGGGGCAGAAATAAATCACAATGGTGGAATGTCATCAGTTAAGGCTATTTTCACTTTTTTTGTGGATCTTCAGTTGCTTCAGGCCATCTGGATGTATATGTGCAGGTCACTGGGGATATGATGGCTTAGCTTGGGCTCAGAGGCCTGACATGCACCAACAGTGACCAAGCTGAGAGTCAAATAAAGAACTCAACCCCTTTTACAATAGCTGCAAAAAAATAAAATACTTAGGAATATACCTAACCAAGGAGGTGAAAGACCTCTACAAGGAAAACTACAAAACACTGCTGAAACAAATCATAGACAACACAAATGAATGGAAACTTGTCTCATGCTCATGGATGGGTAGAATCAATATTGCAAACATGACTGTACTGCCAAAAGCAATCTACAAATTCAATGCAATTCTCATCAAAATACCACCATAATTCTTCACAGAACTAGAAAAAACAATTATAAAATTCACATGGAACCAAAAAAGAGCCCACATAGCCAAAGCAAGACTAAATAAAGATAACAAATCTGGACGCATTACATTACCTGATTTCAAACTACACTATAAGGCCATAATCATCCAAACAGCATGATACTGGTATAAATATAGGCACATAGACCAATGGAATAGAATAGAGAACACAGAAATAAACTCAAATACTCACAGCCAACTGATCTTCGACAAAGCAAACAAAAACATAAAGTGGAGAAAGGACACCCTTTTCAACAAATAGTGCTGGGATAATTGGCGAGCCAGATGTAGGAGAATAAAACTGGATCTTCATCTCACCTTACACAAAAATCGACTGAAGATAGGCTGGGCACAGTGGCTCATACCTGTAATCCCAGCACTTTGGGAGGCCGAGGCGGGTGGATCACGAGCTCAGGAGATCGAGACCATCCTGGCTAACATGGTGAAACCCCATTTTGTATTCTCTATCTGGGTGGCAATCATGGTCATTGTGGTAGCCTTAAACTCCTGCTGTCCCTGCCCCCTTCTACCACTTGAGAGGGTTGAGATGGGCCCAAGAGAGCACTAAGGAAAGATGTATAGCAGCACTAAACAGATTATCCAATGATGGAAATTTAATCATTCTACCCATCTCGCCTCATCCCACTTGTTCTCCAGAGACAAATACTTGCAGTGTAGCAGGATGAGCCGCAGACAAAACTCCTCAGACACCAAGTTAAAGAAGGAAGGAGTTTATTCGGCTAGGAGCATCAGCAAGACTCCTGTCTCAAGAGCTGAGCTCCCTGAGTGAGCAATTCCTGTCCCTTTTAAGGGCTCACAGCTCTAAGGGGGTCCGTGTGAGAGGGTCGTGATCAATTGAGCAAGCAGGGGGTATGTGACTGGGGGCTGCACACACCAGTAATCAGAACAAAACAGAACAGGACAGGGATTTTTTACAATGCCTGGAATCTATAGATAACATAAACGGTTAGGTTAGGGATCGATCTTTAACTACCAGGCCTAGGGTGTGGTGCCGGGCTGTCTCCCTGGAGATTTCATTTCTGCCTTTTAGTTTTTACTTCTTCTTTCTTTGGAGGCAGAAATTGGGCCTAAGACAATATGAGGGATGGTCTCCTCCCTTAGCAGCAGTGCTTCCAACATTTTTTCCAGTATTAACCTCCATATTTCTAAGTAAAATAAACTCCTACTTATTTTATGATTTCTCAATTTTAATAATCATTTGCTGACTTCATATCATAAAAGTTGAATATTCAGCTCATTATTTCTCATTTTCCTCATCTCTTCTCGATAGAGACTATAATAATTTTGGTTAAATTGGGATTCAGATTATTAGAACCATGAAATGTTGAACCAAGTACTATAATTAAGTTTCATTTCTTTTGTACCTTTTTTATTTTTCTGAGAGATAGTACTTGTTTTCCATTGCTCCATTTGTTAAAGTACTTACCACTTAGTCTTAATCTTTCTGCATTCTCAAATAGTCTCTCGACACAATTTTCCACATAGTCAAACACCTAACATATCAGTTCCCCTTTCTAATTAAAAATAAACAATTCCCTTCATTCTGCTCTAATCTGAACCAATAACTCCCTAGACTTGTTCACACAGCTCTCATCTGGGACTTTTCTTGGCTACATCCTGAAAATTCCCTTTGCGTCTCTCCTCTGTTCAATCCCCTAACTTCTGGACCCTGGGTCAGACACCTTCCTGATAGAGTATATCCTGCATCAGCTTCCCAGAAAAAGAGTTTATGAGGTCAGTGTGAGTGGCCTGATAGTTTGGGTAGGTCTATAATTCTAGGTTGAAAATCATTTTTCACTCAGAATTTTGAAGGCATTGTGGTGTTATCTTCTAGTGCCAGTGTGGCTATTGATACCTCCTGGTCTTTATATGTGATCGGATTTTTCTCTCTGGAAGTTTTGGAAGCTTTTCAAAAATCATTGGTTTTCTGGAATTAGTGCCTTGATATTGGTCTTTGCATGTTCCTTCTGCTGAGAGCTGGGTAGGCCCTTTCAACCTGTAGTTCTTTCAGTTTTGAGAATTTTTCTTGAATTATTTCTGCATTTTCCCTCTCCAGTTCATCCTTTTCCAAAACATCTAAGGATTAGATCTTGGACCTCCTGGACTGGTATTATATCTTTCTTTTCTCTCTCATTACCATCTTTTTGACTTTTTGTTTTGAGTGATTTCCTCAACTTTATTTTCTACTGCTCCCACTGGATTTTTTTTTATTTTAGTGATACTATTTTAATTTCCAAATGTTCTTTCTTATTGTTTCTTTTGTACAATGTCTTGTTTTCTTTCATTGATGCAATACCTTCTTTCTCTGAGGATTACTGTATGTGGCTATTAGGGTTGAGATTTTTTCCCTGTAAGTTTTCTTCTCTATATCTATTTTCTCTGAAATGCTTTTTTGGGGGGATATTTTTCTGTTTGTTTTTCTAGTTCTGACTAGAGACCCTTCTCAAATGTGCAATGATCTTTGGCTGTTACTGGTTTTTAAGAGCAAGGCACCAAAGAACAGTCCAAGGGTGGGATTTATTAGCTTACTATAGAGGATTGGGTAATTGACTTCCTTCACTCATCTAACTGACTCCCAGATGTCAGTATCTGCAGGTCTGTTCTCTTGGGCCACTCAGAGAAAGATCTTACAAATGCTTGCCTGGTTAATATAAACCTGAGAAATGCATGGGGATGAGGAGCTGCAGACCTCACTGTTCAATATGTAGACTTTCACTTAACCT
This sequence comes from Homo sapiens, assembly GCF_000001405.40. Lineage (NCBI taxonomy): Eukaryota > Metazoa > Chordata > Mammalia > Primates > Hominidae > Homo > Homo sapiens. The sequence goes on from NC_000017.11 coordinate 6,740,513, forward strand.
CCATGTTTGCATCCAGCCTTGCACAGTACATGGTGTTCTGAGTCCAGGGATTTTCTGGTTCACCTTCTTCAAAAATGAACTCACTAGTATTGGAATAGTGAACCTGAGGTCTAACTAATATATTTGCAGATTTTTCTACCAGTCACGCAGTTTTCAGCTCTACTCTCACACCTAGTGTCCATGGAAATCGGTGGCCCCAATTTCTAAGCTTTCCAAAGTTTTGTGGGGCAAAATCCTTTCTCTCTAACTGCCAACTTGACATCTCTACTTTGATATCCAATAGGCTAGCTAATTTAACATATCCAAAGCTGTCTCCTGATATTCCCCAAGTGGGTTCATGGCATATTTTTTTTCCAGTTGCTCAGGCCAAAAACCTTGGAGACATCTTTGCTTCTTCTCTCACATCCCACATCTAGTCTCTCAGCAAACCCTGTTGGCTTGCTTTCAAGATATACTGAGAACCTGATCTTTTGTCATCTCCATTGTTACCACCTTAGTGAAAGCCATCCGTATCTCTCACCTCTATTGTTGTAGTGATCTTCAAACTCTATCCATGCTTCTGGTCTCACTCATAAGTGGAAATTGAACAATGAGAACACATGGACACAGGGAGGGGAACATCACATATTGGGCCTGTTGGAGGGTGGGGGGCAAGGGGAAGGAGAGCATTAGGACAAGTACCTAATGCATGTGGGGCTTAAAACCTAGATGACGGGTTGGTAGGTGCAGCAAACCACCATGGCACATGTATACGTATGTAATATACCTGCACGTTCTGCACATGTATCCCAGAACTTAAAGTAAAATTAAACAATAACAATAATAATAACAAAACTCTAGCTATGCTTCTTTTCTTGCCCCCTAAGTCTATTCTCAGTACGGCAGCCACAGTGATCCACTTAAAATGTAAGTCAGAACATGTCAGGTCTCTGCTCAAATCCTCCAATGGTTTCCCAGCTTACACAGAGTAAAAGCCAAAGCCCTTACTATAATCTGCAGGGTCCTACATAACCTTCTCTCACCTGTTGTCTTTCTCATTCATATCTCATTCCTACCCACCATGCTGACTCCACTGCTTCCACACTGGTCTCCTTGCTGTTTAAGGAACTAATCGTGCGTGCTCCCACTACAGAAGCCAGCTACATTAGCCATTCACTGGGAAGTCTCCTACCCAGGAATCCGTGTGAACAGTTTCTTCACTTCTTTCAGGTCTTTTCTCAAAAGACACCTTCTCAGTAAAGCCTTTCCAAAGCAACCAATCTAACATTTCTGCCCAATTCCATCATATTCTGTATTCTGCGTCCATGCTTTAGTTTTTCTTCATAATACTATATATTTGATTTGCTTTTTATCTATGTTTCTTAACTAGAATATAGCTCCACGAGGAAAAACATTTTTGCCTATTTTGTTTACTGCTATATCCCTGGTGAACTATATGCCAACAGCAAACAATCTGACAAAGAAATCAAGAAAGTAATCCTGTTTACAATAGCTACAAATAAAATTAAATACCTAGGAATTAACCAAACAAGTGAAAGATATTTACAATGAAAACTATAAAACATTGATGCAGGAAATCAAAGAGGACACCAAAAATGGAAAAATATTTCATGTTCATGGATTGAAAGAATCAATATTGTTAAACAGTCCATACTACCCAAAGTATCTACCAATTCAGAGCAATCCTTATCAAAATACCAATGACATTCTTCACAGAATTAGAACAAACAATCTTAAATTTATATATATGGAACTACAAAAGACCCAGAATAGCCAAAGCTACCTGAGAAGAAAGAATAAAACTGGAAGAATCACATTACCTGACTTCCAATTATACTACAGAGCTATCATCACCAAAACAGCATGATACTGGCATAAAAACAGACACGTAGACCTATGGAACAGAATACAGAACCTAGAAACAAATCCACATACCCACAGTGAACTCATTTTCAACAAAGATGCCAAGAACACACTTTGGGAAAAGGACAGTCTCTTCAATAAATGGTCCTGGGAAAACTGGATATCCATATACAGAAGAATGAAACTAGATCACTATCTCTTGCCATATATGAAAATCAAATCAAAATGAACTAAAGACTTCAATCTAAGACCTCAAACTATGAAACTACTACAAGAAAACATTGAGGAAACTCTCCAGGACATTGGACTGGGTAAAGATTTCTTGAGCCATACCCCTCAAGCACAGACAACCTAAGCAAACACAGACAGATGGGATTACATCAAGTTAAAAAGCTCGTCCACAGCAAAGGAAACAATGAACAAAGTGAAAAGACAACCCACAAAAAGAATGGGAGAAAATATTTGAAAACTACCCATCTGACAAGGGATTAATTACCAGAATATTTAAGAAGCTCAACTAACTCTATAAGAAAAAATCTAGTAATCCAATTTCAACGTAGGCAAAAGATTTGAGTAGAAATTTCTCAAAAAGAAGACATACGAATTGCAAACAGGCATATGAAAAAGTGCTCAACATCATTGATCATCAGAGAAATGCAAATCAAAACTACAATGAGATATTATCTCACCTCAGTTAAAATAGCTTTTATCCAAAACACAGGCAATAACAAATGCTGGCAAGGATGTGGAGAAAAGGGGACCTTCGTACTATTGATGGGAATGTAAATTAGTACAACTACTCTTGTACTAATAGTGGAGAACAGTTTGGAGGCTCCTCAGAAAACTAAAAATAGAGTTACCATATGATCCAGCAATCCCACTGCTAGGTATATACCCAAAAGAAAGGCAGTCAGGGAGAAGGCTGGTCAAGATGGCTGACTAGAAGCAGCTAGTATGCGCCACTCTCATGGAGAGAAATAGAAACGGCGAGTAAATACAGCACCTTCAACTGAGTCATCCAGGTATAAGCACTGGGATTTATCAGGAAAACAACTTAACCCACAGAGAATGGAGAAAAGCAAAGTAGGACATTAGCCTGCCCAGGAGTGACACAGAGCTAGGGGAGCCTCCGTGAGTGAGTGAACAACCCCAGAGACCCATGTGTCCCCGATATATTTTTGCAACCCTCAGGTCAGGAGATCCTGTTATGAACCCACTCCAGCATGGTCTGCATTCTGACACGCAGAGCTACGTGGAATTTTGGCATAGAAGCCACTCAGGCATACATGGATCCCCAGGAGCTTTAGATAACTGGACTTCCTGGCAAACGCAGCTGTAACTCTAGCAAAGTGGGAAGTTCTACCCCTAGAAAAGGAGCTGAATCCAGGGGGCTGAGCAGTGACCATCTGTAGGCCCTGCTTCCATGGCACCTTGCAGGATAATGCCCACTGGCTTGGAACTCCATCCAGCCACTGGTAGCAGCGTTATACCTCCCTGGAACAGAGCTCCCAGGAGGAGGGACAGGCCACCATCTTTGCTTTTTTCACAGCCTTAGGCATTATTGCCTTCAGGATCTAGAGAGTCTGAGGTTACTAGGGACTGGAGGCAATCCCATTCACAACTGCCACAAAGAGAATAAAATACCTAGGAATACAGCTAACCAGGGAGGTAAAACACCTCTACAATGAGAATTACAACACACTGCTGAAAGAAACCAGAGATGACACAAATGGAAAGACATTCCATGCTCATGGATAGGAAGAATGAATATCATTAAAATGGCCATACTGCCAAAGCAATGTACAGATTCAATGCTATTTTTATCAAACTACCAATGATATTCTTCACAGAACTAGAAAAAACTATCTTAAAATTCATATGGAACCACAAAAGAGTCCAAATAGCCAAAACAATTCTAAGCAAAAAGAACAAAGCATGAGGCATCCCATTACCTTACCTCAAACTATACTACAGGGCTACATTAACCAAAATAGCATAGTACTGGTGCAAAAGCAGACACATAGAACACAGTAGAGAGCTTATAAATAAATCTGCACACCTACAACCACCTGATCTTTGACAAAACTGACAAAAATAAGCAATGGGGAAAGGACTTCCTACTCAATAAATGGTGCTGGGATAACCAGCTAGCCATATGCAGAATATTGAAACTCAACCCCTTCCTTACACCGTATGCAAAAATCAACTCAAGATGGATTAAAGACTTAAAGGTAAAACCCAAAACTGAAAATCCTGAAAGACAACCTAGGCAATACCATTCTGGACATAGGAAATGGCAAAGATTTCATGATGAAGATGCCAAAAACAATCATAACAAAAGCAAAAATTGACAAATGGGATCTAATTAAATTAAAGAATGTCTATTACTCAACAGAGTAAACAACCTACATAATAGGAGAAAATATTTGCAAACTGCATCTGACAAAGGTCTAATATCCAGCATCTATAAGGAATTTAAACAAATTTACAAGAAAAAACAACCCCATTAAAAAGTGGGCAAAGGATATGAACAGACATTTTTCTTTTTTTTTTTCTTTTTCTTTCTTTCTTTTTTTTTTTTTTTTTTTGAGGTGGAGTCTTTCTCTGTCGCCCAGGCTGGAGTGCAGTGGTGCGATCTTGGATCACTGCAACCTCTGCCTCTTGCGTTCAAGCGATTCTCCTGCCTCAGCCTCCCATGTAGCTGGGATTACAGGCATGCGCCACCACACCCAGCTAATTTTTGTATTTTTAGTAGAGACAGGGTTTCACCATGTTGGTCAGGGTGGTCTCGAACTCCTGACCTCAGGTGATCTGCCCGCCTTGGCCTCCCAAAGTGCTGGGATGACAGGCGTGAGCCACCATTCCTGGCCAAACAGATACTTTTCAAAAGAAGACATACGTGTGTCCAACAAGCCTACAACAAAAAGCTAAATATCATTGATCATTAGAGAAATGCAAATGAAAACCACAATGAGATATCGCCTCACACCAGTCAGAATGGCTATCGCTAAAAAGTCAAAAAATAACAGATGCTGGTGAGGTTGCAAAAAAAAAGGGACTGCTTATACACTGTTGGTAGAAATGTAAATTTGTTCAACTACCGTGGAAAGCACTGTGGCTATTCCTCAAAGAGCTCAAAACAGAACTCGCTTTTGACCCAGCAATCTCATTACTGAGTATATACCCAAAGGAATATAAGTTGTTCTACCATAAACATACATGCAGACTTATGTTCATTGTAGCACTATTCACAATAGCAAAGACATAGAATCAACCTAAATACCCGTCAGTGGCAGATTGGATAAAGCAAACGTGGTACAGAAACAACACAGAATACTATGCAACCATTAAAAAGAATCAGATCATGTCCTTTGCAGGAAAATGCACAGAGCTGGAAGCCATTATCCTTAGCAGACTAACACAAAAATGGAGAACCAAATACCTCATGTTCTCACTTATAAGTGGGAGCTAAATGATAAGAACACATGGACACAAAGAGGGAAACAACAGACATGGGAGCCTACTTGAGGCTGAAAGTTGGGAGGAGGGAGAAGATCAGAAAAAATAACCATTGGGTACTAGGCTTAGTACCTGGGTGATGAAATAATCTGCACCACAAACCCCTGTGACACAATTTACCTATAAAACAAACCTGCACATGTACCCCTGAACCTAGATACATTTTTTTTAAAAAAGAAAGGAAATCAGTATATCAAAGACATATCCACACTCCTATGTTTATTGTAGCACTATTCACAATAGCCAAGATTTGAAAGCAACCTAAGTGACCATCAACAGATGAATAGGTAAAGAAAATTTGATAGATATACACAATGGGGTACTATTCAGCCATGAAAAAGAGTTATATCCTGTCATTTGCAACAACATGGATGGAACTGATAGTCACTATGTTATGTGCAATATACCAAGCACAGAAAGACAAGGTTCACATGTTCTCACTTATTTGTGGGAGCTTAAAATGAAAACAATTAAACTTATAGAGACAGAGAGTAGAAGGATGGTTACCAGAGGCTGGGAAGGGTAGTAGTGGGTGGGGAGAAGTTGGAGATGGTTAATGGCTACAAAAATTAGTTAGAAAGAATGAATAAGATCTAGTATTTGACAGTACAAAGGGTAACTACAGTCCATCATAATTTAGTTGTACATTTAAAAATAACTAAGAGCAGCCGGGCGCGGTGGCTCACGCCTGTAATCCCAGCACTTTGGGAGGCCGAGGTGGGCGGATCACGAGGTCAGCAGATCGAGACCATCCTGGCTAACACGGTGAAGCCCTGTCTCTACCAAAAATACAGAAATAAATTAGCCAGGCGTGGTGGCGGGCGCCTGTAGTCCCAGCACTTGGGAGGCTGAGGCAGGAGAATGGTGTGAATCCGGGAGGCAGAGCTTGCAGTAAGCCAAGATCGCACCACTGCACTCCAGCCCAGGTGACAGAGTGAGACTCCATCTGAAAATAAATAAATAAATAAATAAATAAATAAATAAATAAATAAGAGTATAATTGGGTTGTTTGTAAAAGAAAGTATAAACACTTGAGGTGATGGATACCCAATCCCAATGTGAATATTATGCCTTGCATGTCTATATCGAAATATCTCATGTATTTCATAAATATATACACCTACTATATACCCACAAAAATTAAAAATTAAAAAAATTTCTCATCTCCAAGTTACTCCCCAACTCATTGCAATCATACCGATATTCCCATAAATAATAACTATAAATTCTGGACAAGGTACCACAATAAACAACCTGAATGCACTGGAGGATAAAAAAATACAGATTCTGGAGGGAGTCAACACTTAAGGGAACTGCACTACCCAACGCTTGTGAAAATCCCAACATTAGTTGACACGTGGAAGCAGGAAACTGTATTGAGTGAGTTTCTATTTTCACAGCTTCTAGTATAAGGGCAGAGCACCTAGGCTATCTAAAGCTCTAATAGGGAAGTCACTGTCTTTCTGTCCTAAAGAACCTGAGGACAACCGCAGCAGCTGGAAAGTAATGGTGAAATCTCAGAAAGGAGAGTGCAGAGAGGGGAAGCCTTAAATTCTGCGAATAAACTCTGCCCAAATCCCTGGATGACCCCTGAATTACATACACAGGAGAGAAGTTCTAAGTAACCTAGTTAAAAATCTAAACTGAGTTTGAGGAGATGAATATCTCAATTATACTGATTTAATTATTACACATTGTATACAGGTATAAAGATATTACATGTACTCCCAAAATATGTGTAACTATTATATGTTCTTTTTTTTTAAAGAACACAGAAATTTTAGTCAAGTAAAATAAAGAAATTTTTTTTTTTTTTTTTTGAGACAGAGTCTCGCCCTGTCTCCCAGGCTGGAGTGCAGTGGCCCGATCTTGGCTCACTACAACCTCTGCCTCCTGGGTTCAAGCGATTCTCCTGCCTCAGCCTCCCAAGTAGCTGGGACTACAGGCATCTGCCACCTTGCCCGGCTAATTTTTGTATTTTTAGTACAGACGGGGTTTCACCATATTGGCCAGGCTGGTCTTGAACTCCTGACCTTGTGATTTGCCTGCCTCGGCCTCCAAAAGTGCTGGGATTACTGGCGTGAGCCACTGCACCCGGCCAATAAATTGTATCTTGATCTTGGAAAGAAACAAAAAGAGCCCAAATTGAGACTTGAGAATCAAAGATTGCCTTTGCATCCCGCCAGTTAACTGCCTGCAACAAACAAACAAACAAAAATCAATGGTTTTCAGAGGGAGCTAAAAGAAGCCAGCATCTATACAACATAATATTCACAATGTCTAGAATTCAATCCCAAATTACTTGAAAAGCAAAGAAACAGATAAATGTGATCCCTTCTCAAGAGAACATACAATCAAAAGCCCAATCCAAGATGACCCATATGTTGTAATTATTAGACAAGGATTTTAAAACACCTGTTGTAACCATGCATAATCATGTAAAGAAAAATATATATCTGTAATAAATAAACAAATGGAAAATCTCAGCAGATAAATAAAAACTATACAAATAAACCATGCGGAAGTTCTAAAATTGATTAAAATATCTAAAATTAAAAATTAACAGCAGTTAGAAGATGACAGAGGAGTCAGTGAATTTGAAACTAGATCAACAGAAATTATCTAATCTGAAGAAAAAAAATAAAATAGAAGAGATCCTCAACATCAAAATGTCTAAGACACTTTTAATGAGTCCCAGAGAAAGAGACAAAGAATGGGGCAGAAAAAAATCTTGCAGAACAATGGCTGAAATTTTCCCCAATTTGGTGAAAGACATTAATTTACAGGCACAAGAAATTCAGCAAACCCCAGTCAGGATAAAGATGAAGAAATCTATGTGTAGACAAATCATTATGAAACTGCTGAAAACCAAAGATAAAAAGAAAACCTGATGCCTGTCAGAGAAAAATGACAGATTACATACAGGGGAATGACAACTCAAATGACCATGTACTTCTCACCAGATACTATGGAGGCCAAATAACATTTGTAATGTACTGAAAGAAAAAATAAACTGTCAACCCAGAATTCTACTTCCAATGAAAATAGCCTTCAAGAATTGGGGCAAAATAAAGGAATTTTCAGATAAAAGAAATCTAAAAGAATTCATTGCCAGCTGGGTGCAGTGGCTCACTCCTGTAATCCCAGCACTTTGGGAGGCTGAGATGGGCAGATCACCTGAGATCAGGAGTTTGAGACCAGCCTGGTCAACCTGGTGAAACCCTGTCTCTACTAAAAATACAAATATTAGCCAGGCCCGGTGGTGGATGCCTGTAATCTCAGCTACTCAGGAGGCGAGGCAGGAGAATCACTTGAACCCAGGAGGTGCCGGTTGTAGTGATCCAAGATCATGCCATTGTACTCCAGCCTCTGTGGCAGAGTAAGACTCCATCTCAAAAACAAACAAACAAATAAACAAAACAAAACAAAAAACACCACCACCAACAAAAAGAATTCATTGCCAAAAGACCTACACTACAAAATAAAAAGTGCTTTAGGCTGAAGGGAAATTAAAATGTATGGAAAGACCTTCAGTAAAAACTCTGGACACTAAAGCTCAGGTGAGCTACCTGGCAGGTGATCATACATCAATGTGCTAGGAAGGTGATGCATCCCCAAGCATAAATTAAAATGGAATTCAAAAAAATATTCAAAGAATCCAAAAGAAGGCAAGAAAAGAGGAACACGGGAACAAAACACAAGAGGCATACAGGAAAAATGACAATAATGTTGCAGACCTAAATTCAACCATATCGACAATTATATTAAATGTTAATATACTAAGCACTCCAATTAAAATACAGAATTGGACCCTGTTCACAAGATGGCGCCAAAAGCGAAGAAGGAAGCTCCTGCCCCTCCTAAAGCAGAAGCCAAAGCAAAGGCTTTAAAGGCAGTGTTGAAAGGTGTCCACAGCCACATAAAAAAGAAGATCCACAAGAAAAGAAGATCCACCCACCTTCTGGCCGCCCAAGACACTGTGACTCCTGAGGCAGCCCAGATATCTTCAGAAGAGCGCCCCTGGGAGAAACAAGCTTGATCACTATGCTATCATCAAGTTTCTGCTGACCCCTGAGTCTGCCATGAAGAAGACAGAAGGCAGCAACACACTCATGTTCATTGTGGATGTTAAAGCCAAAAAGCACCAGATCAAATAGGCCGTGAAGAAGCTCTGTGACATTGATGTGGCCGCAGTCAACACCCTGATCAGCCTGATGGAGAGAAGAAGGCATATGTTCAACTGGCTCCTGATTACGATGCTTTGGACGTTACCAACGAAATTGGGATCATCTAAACTGAGTCCAGCTGGCTAATTCTAAATATATGTATATCTTTTCACCATAAAAAAAATATGGAATTGGAAGTAGCTCCCCAACTTACTGCTTGCTGAAGAAAAGGCATAGATCATCCATTCCCATTGCTTCCATACTCATATGAAATATTTGGTATATATCTACCCAAAAGTAATATGCTGTTCCACTCCCCTGTACTCTGCCTTCTGCCTCAAATGTCCTTCCTATCTCATACCACCCTCACCTCCAGCATTCAACACACACACACACACACACACACACACACACATTTAGACTCCCTCATGTCTTACCTTTCCATGAAGGTGATATGATCTGACCACTCCACTTACTCCAATTAAAATAGATCATATCTATGCATGGGTGAGATTATATCTTGCTATTCAAGCTCACTAGGAGCTGAGACTTCATTTTGTTTGTTATTGTAGCCCCTGGGCCAGGTGTATATAGGCTATTTAGCTATCAAAAACATTAATCAGCAATCAAAATTAAGTAGTGAATATAGTAGGCTGTTCTCCACGAATACAATTTGTAATAACAAACTTGAATAGGGGAGTAATTCAACCCAGACTATGCCCTCTGCTTTATAAAATAATATCCTGCCAACTTGGCGTGACATTGAATTTTTTTTTCCTGACAAATACTGACATATTTGCTCAAACAAATTAATATCCTTCCTTTGATTCGTTTTGTTTTGGAGGAAATAAGTTCACATGTCAATGTAAAAGCTGATCCTTACAACCTCTCTTCCAAATGAATTTTTGTATCTTCATGATAACAAGATAATTAAGGAACAGTAAACTTTTCTTTAACTTTGTCTTTTTCTTTTTAGACATAACCCTGGCCTTCTGCATGGAGCCGTCGCTACTGAGATAGAAAAACAATGATGAGCTGCTAAGTATTTAACAGCCAGATCTTGGGGATGGGGAGATACTCGATTTGTAGCATTTGCCCATTTCCACGGTTTAAATACTCTCACTATGGCCAATTTTAAGGTATCAGCATGACCTTATAAATGGAACATTAAGAAGAGATGGACAGGTCGGGCCCAGTGGCTCATGCCTGTAATCCTAGCACTTTGGGGGGCTGAGGCAGAAGGATCACGAGGTCAGGAGTTCAAGACCAGCCTGGCCAAGATGGTGAAACCCCATTTCTACTAAAAATACAAAAATTAGCCTGATGTGGTGGTGGACGCCTGTAATCCTAGCTACTCAAGAGGCTGAGGCAGAGAATTGCTTGAACCCGGGAGGTGGAGGTTGCAGTGAGCCGAAATGGCACCATTGCACTCCAGCCCGGGCGACAGAGCGAGACTCCTTCTCAAAAAAAAAAAAAAAAAAAAAAAAAAAAAAAGAAGAAGAAGAAGAAGAAGAAGAAGAAGAGATGGACACAATATCTTGGAGCCAGTGTGAATCATTGTAAGAAAGACCACGTGATGTCAAGGACAGGGTAGGAAGAAACATAAGTTTCCATTTTTAAAAATTAAAACACTAGTTATTCCCTAAAATGAGAGTCTGAGTGGCTGTTCATTACCACAACTTAACCATATGAGTATGTTCACCCCAAATTCTGAGTGAAAAGACCCTGAAGCTCTAAACTTTTTCTCTTTCACCTCCCCCGCTCCACCATAAAAAGAAACAACAAAAAAATTGACATATATGGTCATTTGTCCTGAGTTCCATGAGATTTGCAGCAACCAAGGGGACCATACCATGATCAAGCTATTAAAAAATTGGTTGGATGCAGCGGCACATTTCTGTAATCTCAGCACCTTGGAAGACCGAGGTTGGAGGACCACTTGAGGCCAGTTCAAGACCAGCCTGGGTAACATAGTGGGACCCCATTTCTACAATTTTTTTTAAAGTTAGCTAGGTATGGTAGTGTGTGCCTGTAGTCTGTGTGAAGGCAGGAGGATTGCTTGAACCTGGGAGTTCGAGGCTGCAGTGAGCTATGATCACCACTGCACTCCAGCCTGAGTGACAGAGACAGACTTCATCTCTTTACCCAATATGTGTAATCTGGGAAGAGGAGAAGGCTCATAACACTCACCCTTGTAAACATCAGGGAAGAGACCTTGACATTTGGACTGTGATTGCTGATTGGACGGGAATGGGTTGGCAGGGGAAGTGGGTGAGATGTTTTAACCAGGAAAAAGAAAAAAACAAAAACAAAACTATGAATGTGTGAAAAGAGACTTCTCAAAGAAAGAAAGGAAGAGAAAAGTACTGGTCACTCCCCACACAGACAGAATGCCATGGAGTTGCTCTTTCTTGCCATGAGTTTAATGACAAGCTTCCTTCCCCTTCATATGCCAACTAAGCAGCAGCCAGCAGGTCATTCCCCGTCTTTGCTGCCCAGCCAGGCCTAGAGTCTTCCCCAAACACAGTCACAGATATTCCCAGGCTTGAATGCCATCCAGAGACTAGTCATCTGATGCAATTTCCTGTGGTCTGACAAACGAACTCCCATCCAAACACGTTGTGCTTGGGGAGTCTGACTATATGATCACATCTCCCAGGACTCAGGCCCACTCTGACCACAGGATTCTTCTAAAGACACCACCGACAGAAGTGTGTGCAATTGCACCATATAATTTTTGTCTGGGAAGTGAAATATCTCTGTCGTTACATCATCTTCCTTAGCATAGTGATCCCTTAAAAGAAGAAAGCCTAAATAAGATCCCTTCTCAAAGCCAAACTATTAAAACAATCCTTTTTAAATATTCTTTCCTGTCTTCCATGCTGTACAAGTACAGCTTTCACACAATTTCTCTTCTGATCTTCAAAACAATGCACGGAGGGGTGTATTATTCCTGTGTCCTAGTCCAGCCAGGACTTCCTGCTCCCCTTTCCCCCCGATTCCTGCAAAGGTGACATGGCCAGCCCGGCCAATTCACGTCTGAGAGACTGGCTTCCTGTGACAACCTTCACCCCCCTCCCCTGACCCACAGGCCTGACACAAAGAGACTGCCGGAAACTCCCCACAACGGCCAAGTGGGTAGCCACAGTGTCCTGGAAAGGAATTCTAAGCCCACAACAGAGCATTTCTCATCTAGCTGTTTTTTGTTTTTTTTTTTTTAAATGGGATTGGGGTTGGCGACCAGCCAAAGACGGGTGGCAGAATGATGAAATCATACAAGCCCACAGCACCGATTGATGTCGTAGTGGAAATGGGGACAGGCTTTTGTGCTAACCAGAGTGTTCCTACATACACTCTCTGATTAATAATAGTGATGGCCCAGGAACAGCCGTGACAGTCAAAGAGAAACATTGCTGTATTTGTAACATTCCATTTTTTTAAAGAGTGTATATTCATATATTCTTTATGAAATCTAAGTTATCTTGAGAAATGAAAAGAAAATGGCCATTGCTGCCACTTTGAGAGCCCTCCGACTCAGGGGTGTTGTGTGGGTTGGGGGAGATTTCCAACTCCCTGCTTAATTATCTCAAAACACCCCATCCATTCGGGTCAGCCAGCATTTGACTGCCTGCTACTGCGAAGCTCAATACTGCACTCTGCCTAATAAGCACAAAGCCCGCGGGTCTCTCCAGGAAGGCAGGGGTGGTGGGTCAGAAAGAGCTGGCTCTCAAATCGCCCATGCCTGTGATTGGATGGGGAGGAGTTGAGACAATAGACACACAGCCAACTAACCAAAGCCAGAGACAAAGGAGGTAGATTCTAGATCAGTGTTGGCATAGGAGTTGGTCCTGAAGAACTGCTGGGATTTTGATGAGGAAGGGAAGGGTTGGCGTGGGTGGGACAGTCTATAGGAGGAAACATCTTGGAAGAAAATTAGGATGTAGATGAGAAGCAACTTATGGTCACTTCTAATTCCACTCCTATCCCCTGGCCACACATTCCATTCCTCTAAGGTGTCCAATCTATACACCCCTGCCACCACCCCTATCCCATCTCAGCAGGAGACAATATGTGAAAAGAAAGTTCTTCATTTTTCCTTCTTTTCCATTTCTTTCTTCCTGTCTTTCTTTCTTTTTTTTTTTTTTGTAACAGAGTCTCGCTCTGTCGCCCAGGCTGGAGTGCAGTGGCGCGATCTCGGCTCACTGCAGGCTCCACCCTGGGTTCACGCCATTCTCCTGCCTTAGCCTCCCGAGTAGCTGGGACTACAGGCACCCGCCACCTCGCCCGGCTAATTTTTTGTAGTTTTTAGCAGAGACGGGGTTTCACTGTGTTGGCCAGGATGGTCTCAATCTCCTGACCTCATAATCAACCCGCCTCGGCCTCTCAAAGGGCTGGGATTACAGGCATGAGCCACCGCGCACAGCCCTTTTTTTTTTTTTTTTTTTTTGAGACAGAGTCTCGTTCTGTTGCCCAGGCTGGAGTGCAGTGGTGCAATCTCGGCTCACTGCAACCTCCACCTCCTGGGTTCAAGCAATTCTCCTGCCTCAGCCTCCTGAGTAGCTGGGATTATAGGCAAGCACTACCATACCCAGCTAATTTTTGTATTTTTAGTAGAGACGGGGTTTCACCATGTTCGTCGGGCTGGTCTCGAACTCCTGACCTCGTGATCCGCCCACCTCGGCCTCCCAAAGTGCTGGGATTACAGGCATGAGCCACCAAGCCAAGCCCACTCGTTTTTCATTCTTGATATTGACAGACTGCCCAGAGACAGACAGGAGTGGGTAGTGAGGGTCAGAAGGATTAAGGAGCTTGCCTAGCCGATGAGGAAGGGAACAAGATAAGATGCAAACCTCAGTCTCTGACTCTCAGCCAAGTGCTCACTACCCCAACTAGCTGTCAAATGAGGTGGATGGGGCCTTGGTTAGGTACATAGACACCTGAGTCATATCAACCTGGTGTGAATCCCAGCTCTGATGTTGAGCGATTGGCCTAGCCTCTCTCTGCCTCCATTTTCTCTTTTTTCATTTCATTTTTCTTTTTTGAGGCAGAGTCTCACTCTGTCACTGCCTCTGTTTTCCATAGCAAAATGGAGTTAATAATGCTTACATGAGGGATTAAAACGAAGACAATGCCTACCTAATGCTTAGAATGGTGCCTGGAACATAGGAACAATGTTGAAACAGTCTTTCATTCTTCCCTCCTATCACTGTGATCATCAGTACCACCACACACTGCTTCTCATTTAGTGCCTGAATTTTAGAGCCTGCCTGGAGGCTGGAGCCCTGCCTGGACATTTCCCTTAATCTTGTTATCCTCCTCAGAGAGGCGGCACCCACCCCATTGGCAGACGCCACGGGAATTCTCTGGGCCTGCTTGTCATCACTCCAGATGTTGTTTAGAGTTCTTCTGTTAGCACAGCTGTTTCTAGGGTCTGGAAAAACTCTAAGGACCCCCAGGAGGATACACACCAGATTGGGTCTGGGCTCACACCACCCTGCATCCCCAGAGCCTCCCTGGACGCTGTTTGCAAGGTCCTCACCGCCTGGAAGTCCAGGAGCCATTTTTAGGGAACAGCATTCAAGCTCAACATGGCAAGTTCCCTCTTTCCTGCAGGGGAGGACCAGAAGGGAGCCGGAGATGGGGGAGAAGGGTGGGAGGTGGATGGTTTGGAAAAGGGATGGAGACCCAGACGGAGAGAAGCCAGCCAGCCAGGGTGAGGGAACAAGCTGCTGTGCTGCCCAGGAGAGGCCTGGCCTCAGGCTGCCAGCCTCAGGGAGGTAGATGCGGCTGTGACAGCAGCAAAGAATGACGGCCAAGGGCGACAGCAGGGGCTGGCCATGCTGTAAAGGGGCTTCTTGGGAGGGTCCAGCCTCAGGAATCAAGGGGAACTCCTGAGCCGAGAATTCTGAAGATCTCCTCCCTCCCTGAAGCTGTGGGCTGGGCCATCGGAAAACTTTCAGTTTTGTTTCCTTGCCTGCAAGAAACGAAACTCAACCGAAAGCCTGCAGAGAGCAGAACATGGAAGGAGACTTCTCGGTGTGCAGGAACTGGTAAGAAAGTGCTTTCTCCAGCGGCAGACCCGGGCTGGCGAGGGAGAGACGTAGACGACATAGGGCTGTTTCTGAAGGGAGCAGAAAGTGGTTCCTGCATAAGAACACTTAGGAGGACAAGCAGCTGGAGACCGTGGGCCCCAAGGGTAGGAGGGTTTAAACTTGGTAATCTCTGGGTGGGGGTGGGCAGCATTACCTCCACTTCACTGCAGCCCCTTTCCCCCAAATGTTAGGCTTTCTGGGACAGTTCTGAAGCCAAATAGCCCGGCCAGTGGTCCCAACTGGGCTACTCATACTTGTGAGACCTTGGGTCCTAATTTGGGGTTCTGATACTATGACCTTCACACCCATCTGTGAAAGAAAGTGTCCCACGGAGATTCTCCAGGACTACTCTCACCCTCCTTGGAAAGGGAGCCGTGGGGCGGGGCAGGGGGGACAGAGCAGGGGGCTGGGACCACACCTCTAACGGGAGGGGGGGCGCGGAATCTGACCGATCAAAAAGCCCCATTCTCAAAGCTCCCTACCTGTGACAGGGACCTGAGTGGACCCTCCCCAGAGAGCTTTGCTCCAGCCAGACCCTTCAAGTACTCTGGTTTCTCAACCAGCCCAGGAAGAGCAGGGGGAGAAGGGGCCAGGTCAGGCAGAGGAGAGAGAGCAGAGGAAGGGAAGATGATGCTGCCTGTGTGCCCGCTGCCTGGGCAGAAGAGGAGTGAGGCTTTGACAGTCCCTCTCGGAGCACGTCCCCTGTGCCAGGAACATGGGCATGTAACTCTTCTCGTCCCCTGGGCCTTTACGGCTACAGCCACCCCATTTCCCTTCTCCCAAGCTGCCACAAGCAAGAGCTGATGGAAATGAAAGGAGTCATTTCTTTCTTTCTTCTTCTTTTTTTTTTTTTTTTAAGATGGAGTTTCGCTTCTTTTTGCCCAGGCTGGAGTGCCTGGAGTGCAATGGCGCGATTTCAGCTCACTGCAACCTTCATCTCTCGGGTTCAAGTGATTCTCCTGCCTCAGCCTCCCGAGTAGTTGGGATTACAGGCGTGCACCGCCATGCCCGGCTAATTTTGTATTGTTTTAGTAGAGATGAGGTTTCACCATGTTGGCCAGGCTGATCTCTAACTCCTGACCTCAGGTGATCCACCCGCCTCGGCCTCCCAAAGTGCTGGGATTACAGGCATGAGCCACCACACCCAGCCAAAAGGGGGCACTTCTTGGCAAAAAGGACGGTTAGAGAAAAATGCCCTGCCCAGGAAGTGGGAGGCTCAGAACCCTTCCTTCACTGTGGTCTCCAGGAAGAACCTCGGAGTCTCTGTGAGTTAGCGCAGGTGAACCTGAAGGCAGGGGAGACTTGGGAAGCTCTCGCTTTGGAGATTTTGGAAGTTGGCATGGCCCTGGCAGGAAGCGTGAGCCTAGCAGGGCTGCGTTCCTAACACTGTGGACCAAACAGGGGCACCAGAAAACAAGAAAAAAGATTCAAGAGAATTTGGCACTTCTCTCAAATTATTTAAATTGAAATAATTTAATTATTTACATTATTTAAAATGAAATGTTTCATTTTAAAAACAGCCTTATAGAGGTATAATTGACCTACAATAAACCTCACATTTTAAAGGGTAGCAATTGATAAGTTTTGGCCTAAGTTATATACATCCATGAAACACCATCCCCGTAATTGAGATAATGAAGCTTCCTGTCACCCCAAAAGCTCCCCATGCCCCTTTGTAATTCCTCCCTCCTGCTCCTTCCCATGCCCTGCCCCAGCAATGTAAGAGCTCTGTAGATCATCCTTATTCTTATTAGATGCTGCCTCACTGTTCTGACTTTTGGACCCACACAGGGAGTGTGGGGCAGGTGGTGTCATCATCATCACATGTTCAGTGCTTAAGGCCTCTGGAGATCTAGCCCTGGGTATGAAATACAGCTCCATGTTTTATAATATGAAAATAAGTCTATTTTTCTATCCCCACACCTTGACCCTGTAGTAAAAGACATGTAGTCTCTGCCAACTTCACCCTCCATGAGGCTTACTGCCTGCGGTTCCTGGTCCTGTGTCCGGAGTGTGAGGAGCCTGTCCCCAAGGAAACCATGGAGGAGCACTGCAAGCTTGAGCACCAGCAGGTGAGGAGGCGGCAGGGAGGATGGGGTCTGAGAGTCAAGGTGAGTGTTCAGTCCTCCCTGCAGGTGAGATGGGGTCTGAGAGTTGGGGGACGAGGGTCTAGTCCTCCCTGCAGGTGAGATGGGGTCTGGGAGTCAAGGCAAGTGTTCAGTCCTCTCTGCAGGAGAGATGGGGTCTGAGAGTCAAGGCGAGTGTTCAGTCCTCTCTGCAGGTGAGATGGGGTCTGAGAGTCAAGGCAAGTGTTCAGTCCTCTCTGCAGGTGAGATGGGGTCTGGGAGTCAAGGCGAGTGTTCAGTCCTCTCTGCAGGACAGATGGGGTCTGAGAGTCAAGGCGAGTGTTCAGTCCTCTCTGCAGGTGAGATGGGGTCTGGGAGTCAAGGCGAGTGTTCAGTCCTCCCTGCAGGTGAGATGGGGTCTGGGAGGGGCAAGTGTTCCATCTTCCCTGCAGGAGAGATGGGGTCTGGGAGTCACAGAGTGGGTCCAGTCCTCCCTGCAGGAGAGATGGGGTCTGAGAGTTGGGGGACGAGGGTCTAGTCCTCCCTGCAGGTGAGATGGGGTCTGGGAGTCAAGGAGAGTGTTCAGTCCTCCCTGCAGGTGAGATGGGGTCTGGGAGGGGCAAGTGTTCCATCTTCCCTGCAGGAGAGATGGGATCTGGGAGTCACAGAGTGGGTCCAGTCCTCCCTGCAGGAGAGATGGGGTCTGAGAGTTGGGGGACGAGGGTCCAGTCCTCCCTGCAGGTGAGATGGGGTCTGGGAGGGGCAAGTGTTCCATCCTCCCTGCAAGAAAGAAGGGGTCTGGGAGTCAGGGAATGGCTCCAGTCCTCCCTGCAGGAGAGATGGGGTCCGGGAGTTGGGGTGAGGGCTGGGGACTTAAGGCAAGGGTCCAGTCCCCCAGGCAGAGACTCACTTGAGGGCCATGGGAAGTCATTTAGCCCCTCCACACAAAGCCCATGGAAAGGAAATGTTAATCCTGCCTTTTTCATGCTAATCTGAGTCTACCTCCAGTTTTCCTATTTCCAATCCTTTCCCTACAGGCTTATGGATCTGGCATAGGCAAGAGGTTCTGGTTTCAGGAAAGACTGGCTGTTCTCTTGAGATCTGTAAAGAGAGGATGTGAAAAAGGAAGGTCCTGGAAGGCAGTCAGATGGAGCCCTGTTTCCCGCCTTTCCATGTCCATTCCTCCTGGGGCCCCTGATCTGTCTCTCTGGAGATACTCAAGCTCAGGCAGCCGTTGCCAACTCAGACTGGTCTGACAAACACTTCTTGAACACTGGGCGGGGTGCTAGAGAGACACTGAGGTAGCCACATCGGATCCCTGCCCTCTGGGAGTTCACAGACCCAAACCCGGAACACTGTGAGCCAAAGTGGATGTGGGGCAGGCCCTGGGTGCTGGGTGGACCCACATCTGGTGTGTGTGTGTGTGTGTGTGTGTGTGTTTAGGTTGGGTGTACGATGTGTCAGCAGAGCATGCAGAAGTCCTCGCTGGAGTTTCATAAGGTAAGAGCCCCATGTGATTTCTCCTTTACAGCCAAATAGACCAACCTGAGAAAAGGAGAGGAAGGGGAAACGGGAGGCCAGTAATAGAGATTTCCACCTGACCACTCTTTTCACCCCATTAGGCTTGGAGAGCAGTGGAGAACTAGCCCACCGCATAACACAGGTTCTCCTGTCCCCCAGATACTGATCAGAAGGGTTTTCCATGGTCCATGAGTCCATCAGAGCTCAGATCCCCCGAAGGCAGTCCCGCACTCTGGCCCTTCTCATCTGCTTTCTCGTATTGGCCCTAATTCCCTAGGGAGATGGGCACAAGTCCTTGATCTGCCTACAGTCAAAGAGGCCAGTGATCGGCCAGGCGCAGTGGCACACGCCTGTAATCCCAGCACTTTGGGAGGCCAAGGCGGGTGGATCACGAGGTCAGGAGTTCGAGACCAGCCTGACCAACATGGTGAAACCCCGTCTCTACTAAAAGTACAAAAATTAGCTGGGCGTGGTGGCACACGCCTGTGGTCCCAGCCACTTGGGAGGCTGAGGCAGGAGAATTGCTTGAACCCGGGAGGCGGAGGTTGCAGTGAGCCAAGATCAAGCCACTGCACTCCAGCCTGGGCAACACAATGAGACTCTGTCTCAAAAAAAAAAAAAAAAAAAAAGGGCCAGTGATCATGCCCTTCCTGCTGCCTCCCACAGGCCAATGAGTGCCAGGAGCGCCCTGTTGAGTGTAAGTTCTGCAAACTGGACATGCAGCTCAGCAAGCTGGAGCTCCACGAGTCCTACTGTGGCAGCCGGACAGAGCTCTGCCAAGGCTGTGGCCAGTTCATCATGCACCGCATGCTCGCCCAGCACAGAGATGTCTGTCGCAGTGAACAGGCCCAGCTCGGGAAAGGTAAGCACACAAACTGGGGTGGAAGAGAGACGTTCCAAGGGCCAGAGCCTTTCCTGGATGGGATGCAAGGAAGGGAAGCTCTCAACAGGACGGATGACAAGTGTATTTGCTGTATAGATCTCAATTCATCTGGCTATTCTAATTCTAAACCATGCCTCAGAGTGGCCTTCCTGTGTGTCTGCTGTGGCCTTCAAATGACTGGTCCAGGGAGACTAGGAGGCCGGGGCTAGAGCCTAGCTACCACAAAGTTGAGTAAAGAGGCCATGGAGAAGGCTGGGCGGGGTGGCTAATGCCTGTAATCCCAGCACTTTGGGAGGCTGAGGCGGGCAGATCACCTGAGGTTGGGAGTTCGAGACCACCTTGACCAACATGGAGAAACCCCGTCTCTACTAAAAATACAAAATTAGCCGGGCGTGGTGGCGGACGCCTGTAGTCCCAGCTACTTGGGAGACTGAGGCAGGAGAATCACTTGAACCCGGTAGGCGGAGGTTGCAGTGAGTCGAGATCGTGCCATTGCACTCCAGCCTGGGCAACAAGAGCAAAACTCTGTCTCAAAAAAAAAAGGGGGGGACCATGGGGAGTCCTAGGAAACAGGAGGCTTTCTTTGAGCACCTCTAGCACAGTCCTAGCCTGGCAGAGATCCATTGCATCCTTTTACAGATGAGAAACCTACACACAGAATAAAGCAGGGACTTGCTAGAGGCAAAAATAAGACTGGACTCCCGCACTTCCTGGCACTGAATCTAGGGCTTTTTCCATTATCAACAATGGCCAGAAGGGAGTTAGCAATGGCTCCTGGCCTGGGGGCCTATGTATTGGCTCCCTGGTACCATTTTATGTTCACTTGAATCACTCACCTCTTTATGAGGGTGTATTTACTGTCACACAACCATCAGTGTGACAGATCCTTTGGTGTCTTTGCTAGTTGTTTTGGTAACATGGTAACATGGGAGAGAGCCTAAAACTCCCCAGACAGTAACCTTCTCCTGATAAACAATCCACCCAAGGGCAAAACTGGCCAATGGAAACCTGGAAATTGTGAGAGTCATGTATATTTCCTTCATCCCAGCATGGCTGGACGTCAACAGAATCAAACACAGTCTTCAACACAACTTCAGTGCAACACAACACAACACAACACAACACAGCTTCAACACTGTCAACAAAAATGTGTTCAACCAACACCTGGTCTGATCACAGAGTCTGAAAACTGGTGCAATGAAAGAGCACAGTCAGAATGGAGGGGGTTGGCATCCGTGGCTACAGCTCCATTCATCTCCTTAGAAACCAGTCCTGATCCAGGAAAATGTCTCTCCATTACGGTTGCTGCTGCCCTGAGTGCACATCTGTGGCCATAAAGGAAATGATGTGGGTGATTCGGCCAAGAGTTGCCTGTGTGGTCAAGGATGCCGGCAGCGCAGGAAAGTCAAGACCAGGCAGGTCCGGGGGGCAGTTCGTGCTCATGAGCACAGGCCATGTATGCAGTTGTGGGAGAGCTGGGCTAGCCGTTGACAAGGACAATCATTTGTGGTGTTGTTTCTCTGCTTATTCAGGGGAAAGAATTTCAGCTCCTGAAAGGGAAATCTACTGTCATTATTGCAACCAAATGATTCCAGAAAATAAGTATTTCCACCATATGGTGAGTAGCACTTAGTAATTTTCTAATGGTGCCAATAGTTCATCCACATTCTGAAAAGTGTGATAGGAAAGGCAGATTCTGGGCCCAATTTTACATAGCATGGATATTAAAGGGTCCCATATTTATTTTTTGCTTTGTTCCAAAAGATAGTTTAGTGACTTGCTTAGGCTAATCAAGCACACAAAAATTGGTCTTCATTTGTGCCCAGCCCTTCAAAGGGGCTTCCCTTGCCACTCCCAACACCCCCGATCACCTCTGACCATCTCCAAACTTCATGGCCTGGACATTGCAATTTGGTCCTCAGTAGGGCCTGTCTTACTGTTTTCGGTCCCATGTGGGAGTCTTCTCTATTAGACTGTGAGCTTCCTGCAAAACTGCATGACTTTTTCCATTTTCCTGACATCAGAGCTTGGTGCAAAAAGAGGACTCTGTAGAGGCGCAGTTACGTGATTGACTGACTGACTGATTTTGCCTGGGAACACTCACAGGTTCTTCCCTCCATAGCCCCTAAGCGCCGTTTAGTGCATTGCTGTGCCAAGTTGCTCCCTTCTTTTGCACAGAATGGAGCATTTCCCCTTTGGGAAACTTACCAAGGCTTCTCTCCAAAGAACTCTTCTCCTTCTCCTTGGGCAGAAAGTTGTTTACCTTTCTTAACACTTCAGTGCTTAAAACTACAGAATATCAAAACTAAAGAAACCATAGAGACGATCCAGCTTTTCGCTCTTTTCTTTTTCTTTTTACTATTGTGGTAAACCACGTATAATGTAAAATTTGCCATCACTATAGAGACATTTGGTACATTCACAATGTTGTGCAATCTGGTTCTAGAATATTTTCATCATTCCAAAAAGAAATCCTATACCCATTAGCAGGTACTGTACATTCCCTCATCTTCCCAGTTCCTGGCAACCACTAATCTGCTTTCTATCTCTATGGATTTGTCTATTCTGGACACTTCACATCAGTAGACTCATATAATATGTGGTCTTATGTAACCATCTTCTTTCACTTACCGTAACATTTTCAAGGTTTGCCCGTGTTGTAGTTGTGGCATGTGTCAGCATTTCATTCCTTTTAATGGCCTTTTCTTTTCTTTTATTTTTTTGAGACAGGGTCTCACTCTGTTGCCCAGGCTGGAGTGCAGTGGCGTGATCTCGGCTCACTGCAACCTCTGCCTCCCGGGTTCAAGCGATTCTCCTGCCTCAGCCTCCGGAGTAGCTGGGGCTACAGGTGCCTGCCACCACGCCCGGCTAATTTTTGTATTTTTTTTTAGTAGAGACGGGGTTTTACCATGTTGGCCAGGCCAGTCTCAAACTCCTGACCGCAGGTTATCCGCCTTCCTCGGCCTCCCAAAGTTAATGGCCTTTTTACGGTCATCCCACATTTTGTTTCTCTACTTGTTGGTAAACATTCGGATTGTTTCCACCTTTCAGCTCTTTGCTTTTTGAAGTGCAGTCTGTGGACCAGCTGCATGAGCATCACCTGGAATCCTGTTAGAAATGCAGAATCTCAGGCCCTCCCCCTAGAAATGCTAAATCAGAATATGCAGGGTCACATGATTTCCCAGGCATTTCAAGTCTGAGATGCGCTGCCCCAGCCACGGGATTCTCAGCCTTGGCTGTACGTGGAAATCACCTACTGACTTGTTTTCCTTAGTACTGATGTTTATTCGATCCTATAAGTGGTCCATGTGTTCTGTTTGAATGAGAAAATACTTGGTGAGCACCAAAACAAGAGTAAAGCTGACTACTTCCCTTCAAATGTCCAGCCTGGCAACCAGGGCACCTACACACTTATTTGAAGGCTACAGGGAAGTGGGGAGCTCCAATACACATGGAACTGGATTTGTGCTCAGAAACTCTGAATTTTAGTTCTGCTGTGCCCCTTACTGGCTGTGTAACCTCTCTGAGCTTCTTTCTTCTTTTGAGGAAAATGGGGATAATGGTTTATCTCCTTGTTCAGGAAAAGAAGACATCCACAACCAGCCAACACCAGATCTATCTCCTTGGCAGCATCCACACTCACTTACTTTGCCTTCCCACCTCTTAACCATAGAGGAGCTTCCTATGTGCCTCTCTAAAGCCTATCCCCTCCTACTGGTATAATATACCCTCTCTTTTTGCCTACACAAGGTCACACAAGTTTTTTGCTACACTGCTCCAGCAATTCTCCCCTCTCTGTCCTGCAACAGAGAGAGGTTAAATGAGCTGTACACGCAGGTAACAACAAAGTCTCACATCTCTAGGTTGTCCTAACATTTCTTACAATAACTTTTTAAAGGGGTACCACTATTGAATATTTATATATCAATGGCCTTGCACGAAAAGAATTTTTTTTTAATTTTGAAAATTAAGGATTGAAATCATGTATACTAGGTGGTTTTGTGGTTTTCAGTCTTTAACTTTTTATTAATATGACCCAAAGCCAGAAAAACATGAAATACTTCTGATCCCATTTCCTATAAGCTACCATCTTGTTTCTTTGTTCCCCTCCGTAGAAAAACATTTGAGCTAGTTGTCTATAAGTAACTGCCTCCATCTTTTCTTCTCTCATTCTTATTCCCACTCCAGTCTGGCTCTCCATTTTAACCAAATCTGCTCTTGTCAAAATCAATGACCTCTGCATTGCTAAATCCAATGCTCAGTTCTCAGTTCTCAATTTATGGGAAGCATTTACTGCTCATCACTCCCTCTTCCTCAGTGGACTTTCTCGGCTTCCAGGGTACCACACTTTCCTGGTTTTCAAGGACATTGGTGGTCTCTCATTCTCTACCTCCCCAGCCTCTTAATTTTGGGGGGCCCCAGGGCTTAGTCTCTGGTCTCTTCTCTACCTATATTCACTGCCTTCATTATTTCATCCTACCTCCTGATTTTTAAAAATGCCATATGTAAGGCCGGGTATGGTGGCTCATGCCTGTAATCCCAGCACTTTGGGAGGCCGAGGTGGGAGGATCACAAGGTCAGGAGATCGAGACCAACCTGGCTAACACAGTGAACTCTCGTCTCTACTAAAAATACAAAAACTTAGCCGGGTGTGGTGGTGGGTGACTATAGTCCCAGCTACTCGGGAGGCTGAGGCAGGAGAATGGCGTGAACCCAGGAGGCGGAGCTTGCAGTGAGCCGAGATCACGCCACTACACTGCAGCCTGGGCGACAGAGCGAGACTCCATCTCAAAAAATAGATAAATAAATAAAAATTTAAAAATTTTTTAAAAAGCCATATGTAGTCAGACACTTCCAAATTTATATCTCAGTCTGGGTTTTTCTCCCCAAACTCTAGATTTGTATATTACTATTTACTGCATCTTCACTTGAATGCTTGATAGACATCTTAAATGTAACACATCTGAAATGGAATCCTCTCTGCCACAGCTTGGCCCATCTCAGTTGATGGCAACTCTATCTTTCCAGTTGTTCAGGCCAAAATCTCAGGTTCACTCTCGACTTCTCTTTCCCTCCGCATTGCTACCCTGGTATGAACCATCATCTTCTCTAGCCCAGATGCTGCAGCAGTCTCCTAAACGGTCTTCCTACTTCTCACCTTGCCCCCTACAGTCTATTCTCATCACAGAGGTCAACGTGATCCCTTAAAAATACAAGTCAGATTGTTTGGCTCCTCTGTTCAGATCTCTGTACTGATTCTTGCCCCATTTTATGCAAACTCAAAACTACAGTGGCTTTAGAGATCTATGTCATCTTTGCCTCCCTTCTTATCTCATCACCTCTTTGATCTCATGTACTACTCCTGTTCAGCTCACTGGCCTCCTGATTGTTTCTTGAGCATACCATGCCTTAGGGCCTTTTCACTGGCTACTGCCTCTGGCTGGAAGCTACCTCCTCACCTTCCCCACCCTACTCCAGGAGCTAACTCTCTCACTTCTCTCAAGTCTTTGCCCAGATGGCACCTTCTCAAGGAGATGTACCACAACAACCTATTTAAAATTGCAACTCCCTCTCCATCACATATTTACCAACCCCTTACCTTCTTCTATTATTTTTTCCATAGCATTTGCCAACTTCTAACATATTATCTAATTTACTTACTTATTATGGCCCTTGTTAATTGTCTCCCACGACCTCAGAAAAACTATAAGCCCCACTGGTCCCCTTCATGCTAACTACTCCCCAGACACAAATACTCTACTTTTGCTTTTAGCTGTTTCTTCTGGTAATCACCTTCATATGTCTAAAGCACCTTCTTATATTTTTTCCAGTTTTAGATATTACTTATTGACTCATAAGGATTTAGGAATATAGATTTCACTTTTTTATACCACCCATCCCACACACACACCTCCAAAGTTCTTCATTTCATCCTTCCAATGTATTGATTTCACTCATTCTGGTTAAATAAATATTCAGTATTACATTAGTATAACCATGTAAACATTATAAATGGTTTTCCACATGAATTGTGATTATGTGTTCTTTCTCCTACAACTTTTTGTTTTACCTGGACTTAATAATTGCTTCGGTTTTTCATTTGCTTCACTTTCTAGGTACCTATCACTAAATCATCCCTAAAATTCTCTACCAGATCTGAAAATTCCCCTGAGTACAACTACACACATCAGATAGTCTGTCCATTTCATTTTGGGAGCATGTTATGCCCCAGGCTTGATGATTAGCTGTTGGTCTGGAATTTCTTCCACTCTCTCCACGGTTGGAGTTCTGATTCCCAAATCTCAGGTCTCATCTTTCTCTTTCTTAGGTTACTCCTTGTTTGATAGAACATATCCCCAAATAGTTTCTTGAGAAAGAAAGCATGAGAGGCAAATTTTTTAGGCCTTATATGTCTGAAAATGAAAGCTTGGGTGGCTATAGAATCTATTGACCATCTTAATCTGTTTATTAAAAATCTTATTACAATTCTGATTTGGCCACTACACACTGTATACATGTATTAGAAAATCATTCTGTATTCTATAAGTATGTATCATTATTACTTGTCCACTAAAAATAAAAGAAATAAAATTGATTACAAAAACTTTCAAATAAATATGACAGTAGAAAGTTAATACAATAAACATTCATGTATTTACTCCCCAGATACAACAGTTGTTGTTCTAAACAAGGTGAATAAAAATAAATCTACTCTTAGATACATTACAGGTAAAAGGCAAAGGTTGATTTCTTTGAAATCAGCCGAAGAAGATTACAAGCAAAGGAATGGCAGTTAGGCTGAAAGCAAATATATCGACAGCAATAATAGAAGTGGGTATGCAGTGGAATAATCTTCAAAGTGCTAAGAGAAAATAGCTGTTAACACGTGGAAATCAAAAGTTTTCCAGGCTTGAACTATACTTTGTTTGTTTTCTTTTTTCTAAAGTATGTTAAAGCAAATCCAAGATATCCTGTTATTTCACCATCATTCTTTAATATCTCAAAAATACAGTCATTTTCTTAATCACAATGCCTTTATCACTCTCAATGATGTTAACAATAATTTTCCCCCATCGTTTTGGGGCCTTGCATTTACCACTCTTGTTCATTACTACTGCTGCTGCTGCTGCTGCTGCTGCTGCTTGCTTCTCCCTTGTATTCTATTGGATTGAGCAAGATTTCTTTATTCTCTTTCTTCTTTCCTACTGATTCGTCAATTTTACATTTATTTCTATCATTTCAATAGTTACCCTTAACATTTTAATATAAATACTTGACTTAATAAAGTCTAAAGTTAGTCATTATCTCTACTTTCCTTACAAATAGTATATAGATTTGAGAACATGTTAACACTGTAACTATCTTACATGAAAATGCTGCCAGAATTTTGTTTCATTTTGCTTTCATACTACCCCTCTTTACTGATTATTGTTGTTATTTATGTAACTCATGCCTGTTTAGATATACTCACATGTTTTTGTTTTTGCTTTTTTTCTTTCTTTCTTTCTTTTTTTTTTTGAGACAAAAGTCTCACTCTGTTGCCTGGGCTTGAGTGCAGTGGCACGATCTTGGCTCACTGCAGCCTTCGCCTCCTGGGTTCAAGCAGTTCTCCTGCCTCAGCCTCTCAAGTAGCTGGTACTACAGGTGTGTGCCACCACGTCTGGCTAATTTTTGTATTTTTAGTAGAGATGGGCTTTTCCATGTTGGCCAAGCTGGTCTTGAACTCCTGACCTCACATAATCTGCCCACCTCGGCCTCCCAAAGTGCTAGGATTACAGGCATGAGCTACTGTGCCCGGCTGGATATACTCACAAGTTTACCCTTCTCTTTACTCACATTCTTCCTTGGATCCTAAGCTTTCCTTCTGGGTATGATTTCTCTCTTCCTGAAATACATCTCAGTAGCTTCTTCACCAAGAACCTTGAGTAGTAAATCTTTAGTTGCCTGAAAATAAGCTTTTTGTTTTTTGCATCCATGAATGATAGTTTAGCTGGATATCAAAATCTAGATTAACAGCTATTTTCTCTTATCATTTTGAAGATTATTCCACTGCCATCCCACTTCTGTTATTGCTGTTGATGTATTTTCTTCCAGCCTAATTGCCATTCCTTTGTACGTAATCTTTATATTTGGTTGATTTCAAGATCCTCTTTGCCTTTTACCTGTAACGTGTTTAAGAGTAGTTTTATTTTTATTCATTCTGTTCAGAACAATGTACTCAAATGTGTTTGCTTTTCTCCTGCTCAGGATTTCTCTTTCCTTAATATAAAGATTTATGTCACTAATCAGGCCTGAAAATTCTCATCTATTATCTCTTTGAATTCCCAACATTCCCCAACTCTCCCACATTCTCTCAACTCTCCTTCTGGAACATAACACATGTATATTAAGCATTCTCATTCTAGCTTCATGACTCTCTTTTTTTTCATGACTCTCCTTTTTTTTCATTTCTCTCTTTTAATCGCCTTATGTCTCTTAACCTTTCATATTTTCTCTATTTCTATCTCTTATATTCTGGGTAATTTCCTGAAATTATCTCCAAGTTCATTCATTCTTTCTTGGCCAAATCTAATTTTCTGTTTTTAGCCCATCCATTTAGGTTCAATACCTGCATTTTTCATGTCTAGAAGTTCAATTTATCTTTCTTTCAAATTTGCCTATTTTTGTTCTCACTACAAAAAAAAGATAGGTATGTGAAGTGATTGATATGTTAATTAACTTGATTTAATCATCCCACAATGTATATATATATTAAAATATCACATTGTACCCCATAAATATATAAAGTTATTATTTGTTAATTACAAATTAGAAAATTTCAAATTTACCTGTTCTGTTTTTCATGAGATGTTATTCTTTTCCCAGATTTAATCATTTTTAATTAATTTATTTTACAGTCTCTATCCTATAGTTGCATTACCTGAACTTCTTGGAGGCTAATCTGACTACTTTTGTGTCTGTGACTCTTACTCAAGGTGGATTGCTTCCTTGTGTGTTTGTAATTTTGGATTGTGAGTTTCTATCTGGTGGGACTCTACCTATGAGGATCCTCTATGACCTATTTTGAGGCTGTTGTCCCTCCAGAGGAATTTTGTGATTGCTTCTGCCAGACATCTCAATGTTTATGTTAATTCTTCTGCTCAGGGATTCCCAGACCATGAGGCCAAAGTAAATCCTAATCCCACACACAGGAATGGCATGGACCTGTGATTTTGAGTTTTCAGGGGCATAAGTTTTCATCTCCACACTCAAATACCGACCCAAGAAAGAAAAGCTTCCTTGCCACTTTCCTTTTCTCATTAGCTGATACTTTTCCTCTTACCCACCATAATTTATCCTTTAAAGTTTCCAGCTTTATGCAGGATCAATAGAGTCTTACTTCCAAATCCCCACCTGTGTGGATGGGACTTTCCTGTCATCCAAGCCCCTAGTTACAAAGTTGACCCTACATCTCCCATAAGCAGTGTCAACTCCTGTGCTTAACCAGTCCATTTGTGCTGCTATAACAGGATGCCACAGACAGAGTAATAATAAAGAACACAAATTTATTTCGAACAGTTCTGAAGACTGGGAAGTTCAAGATCAAGGCACCACCATTTGGTGTCTGGTGAGGGCCTTCTTGCTGCCTCCTAGCATGGTAGAAAGCAAAAGAGTAGAAGGCTGTAGCCAAATACTTCATGAATCCTCTTTTATAAGGACCCTAATCTCATTAAAAAGGGAGGACCTTTCATGATCTAATCACCCCCGAAGGCCCCACCTCTTAATACCATCACATTGGCAGCACCTGAATTTTGGAGGAGACACATTCAAACCATAGCAACCAGTCAGACCTTCATTCCTGGAATGCAAAATTTTCTTTCTTTCCTGCAAAGCCAGCTATTAAATTGAATGTCTGTCACATTTTATACACCATATAAAAGTGTTTACAGTGGGAATTTCTTGTGTTATCTAGTCTACTGTATTTTCTGACCATTAAAGCTGAAGTCATTTTAAAATTTGATATATTATTCACAATTGCAGGGTAAATGTTGTCCAGACTCAGAGTTTAAGAAACACTTTCCTGTTGGAAATCCAGAAATTCTTCCTTCATCTCTTCCAAGTCAAGCTGCTGAAAATCAAACTTCCACGATGGAGAAAGATGTTCGTCCAAAGACAAGAAGTATAAACAGATTTCCTCTTCATTCTGAAAGTTCATCAAAGAAAGCACCAAGAAGCAAAAACAAAACCTTGGATCCACTTTTGATGTCAGAGCCCAAGCCCAGGACCAGCTCCCCTAGAGGAGATAAAGCAGCCTATGACATTCTGAGGAGATGTTCTCAGTGTGGCATCCTGCTTCCCCTGCCGATCCTAAATCAACATCAGGTACTCAGCCTCTGTTCTCTGCTTACCTTTCTGGGAACCATCCGCACAGTGTCTTAAAAAAATCCAAGACCTGAAAGATGTTCACAAATGTTGTGGCTGAAAAGGCCGTTTTCTCTGACTCCCACTTCTCTGGGTGCCCAAATGCACTATCTCGTAGCACTTACCACCTGGTTTATTTGCATCACCTCCGAGAGACTGAGTCACCTTTGACTCAAGCCAGGTCTTTGAAGGTAGAGCCAGGTCCCTCTTCTCTGTGTCTCCAGCTTCTAGGCCAGGGATTGATTTGGAGCAACTGCTTCAAAACTGTTGAGTAAATGAATGAATCAGAGGATACCCAGTCTATCTCTCTCATGGTGTAGATATGGCACTGAGGCCCAGAGATGAGATGTCTTGGTCAAGATCCTAAGCCAGTTGGTGGTGGCTTACCTCCAGCAGATCAAGGTTTGCTTCAAGAAGATCAGGGTTTGTAGGCATCTCCCTGAATATCATGATTTTTATGTCCTAGGTTATTTTCTAGTAATAATAATAACTGGCATTAGAGGTTGTTAACCATTGTGTGCCAGTTACAATACAGAGCTCTTTATAATCTTCATCATAAACAATAGGCATGCATTTTATCTCCATTTTACAGATAAGGTGAAGTAGCTTTCCAAGGAGTATACAATTAGAAGGTGGCAGGATCCAGCCTGAGTCCACATGTATATAGCTCCAAAGTTTATGCTCTTAAGCTCCAGATTAAATGCCTTACTTAAAAAATTTATTTTTTTTCAAAATACATAAGTACTAGATTTTGTTGGAGCTAGTTGATATAATATCATATAAAGAAGTATAAAAGCAAAGCTAACCCTAATTCCCCAACCCCATACCCTGAGATACCACTTTGGACAGTCTTATGGGCATCTTTTCAAAGCTCTACCTTTGCATATACAAGCCTAAACAAGCATATACTGGGTTTTACTTGTTTCTTTTTCCACACATATTATCTTACTATACTTTTTACTCTGCCACATGCCTTTTTCACTTAGTATATGATGCATGCTTCTTACAAAAGACTTAGTATGCCAAAACCTTTTTTTCTAACTTCCTTGTGCATCTATGTATGCACATAAGCATATAATTTTACAAAAATGGGTTCATTTCATATTTGCTGGGGGTGTTACTAGTGCCATTTTTCCTTGCCTCCCACAATTTGGTATATTTCCTTTCACAGTTTTCTCCATCCTTATATAACAGAGTCGCCAGATTTAGCAAATAAAAATACAGGACATTCAGTCAAATTTGAATTTCAGAGAAACAAAGAATTGTTTTTAGTGTAGGTATATTCCATGCAATGATTGTTTTGCTAAAATTAAAATTTAACCAGGACACCCTGTATTTTATTTAGCAATTTCTTATATAACCACCATACAAACATACACATTTGGAGTCCTGTTATATACATTTTTTCACTTTTTTTTTTTTGAACCAGTAAAGCTGCCATCTTTTTTTTTTTTTTTTTTTTTTTGAGACAGAGTCTCGCTCTGTCACCCAGGCTGGAATGCAGTGGTGGGATCTCGGCTCACTGCGATCTCTGCCTCCCGGGTTCAAGCGATTCTCCTGCCTCAGCCTCCTGAGTAGCTGGGAGTACAGGCACCCGCCACCACACCCAGCTAATTTTTGCATTTTAGTACAGATGGGGTTTCACCATGTTGTCCATGCTGGTCTTGAAATCCTGACCTCAGGTGATCCACCCGCTTCAGACTCCCAAAGTGCTGGAATTATAGGGCATGAGCCACCACGCCCAGCAACATTTCTTTACATCCTAATGTAAATTCAGCAATACCCAAGGAAATCCCTACAAACAAAACAGTGTGGCTTATTTTTATTAATGGCTGCCTAAGATTCCATGGTGTGAGTGTTCTCCCATCTGTCCCTCCACCCAGTGATAGCAACAGGCCCCTGTTAAACTTTGTCGCAAGCCTCCTATACTTCTGGCTCAGTGGGCTCCTGACCTTTTCTATGCCATTACACTCCAGTCTTTGGGCAGGGCTCATGCTCTGTAACAAGGGACAGCAATATCCAGAGATATTCTAGGAGCTAGCACTTCTTACTTTAACCATATCAAACTTTTTTTATATCCATTTCTTAGGAGAAATGCCGGTGGTTAGCTTCATCAAAAGGAAAACAAGTGAGAAATTTCAGCTAGATTTGGAAAAGGAAAGGTACTACAAATTCAAAAGATTTCACTTTTAACACTGGCATTCCTGCCTACTTGCTGTGGTGGTCTTGTGAAAGGTGATGGGTTTTATTCGTTGGGCTTTAAAAGAAAAGGTTTGGCAGAACTAAAAACAAAACTCACGTATCATCTCAATAGATACAGAAAAGGCTTTTGATAAAATTCAACTTGACTTCATGTTAAAAACCCTCAACAAACCAGGCGTCGAAGGAACATACCTCAAAATAATAAGAGCCATCTATGACAAAACCACAGCCAACATCATACTGAATGAGCAAAAGCTGGAGCATTACTCTTGAGAAGTAGAACAAGGCACTTCAGTCCTATTCAACATAGTACTGGAAGTCCTCGCCACAGCAATCAGGCAAGAGAAAGAAATAAAAGGCAACCAAAAAGAAAGGAAGTCGAAGTATCTCTGTTTGCAGACGATATGATTCTATATCTAGAAAACCCCATGATCTTGGCCCAAAAGCTCCTAGATCTGATAAACAACTTCAGCTAACTTTCAGGAGACAAAATCAATATACAAAATATGGTAGCATTTTTATACACCAACGACATCCAAGCTGAGAGCCAAATCAAGAATGCAATCCTATTCACAATTGCCACAAAAAGAATAAAATACCTAGGAATACAGCTAACCAGGGAGATGAAAGATCTCTACAACAAAAATTACAAAACACTGCTGAAAGAAATCAGAGATGACACAAATGGAAAAACATTCCATACTTATGGATAGGAAGAATCAATATTGTTAAAATGGCCATACTACCCAAAGCAATTTATAGATTCAATGCTATTCCTATCAAACTACCAATAACATTCTTCACAGAATCAGAAAAAAAAAGCATTAAAATTTATTTGAAACCAAAAAAGAGCCCAAAAAGCCAAAGCAATCCTAAGCAAAAAGAACAAAGCTGGAGGCATCGCATTACCCAACTTCAAACTATACTACAGGGCTACAGTAACCAAAACTGCATGATACTGGTACAAAAGCATGGTGCTGGTACAAAAGCAGACACATAGATCAATGGAACAGAATAGAGGGCCCAGAAATAAAGCTACACACCTACAACCATCTAATCTTTGACAAAGTTGACAAAAATACGCAATGGGGAAAGAATTCCCCATTCAGTAAGTGGTACTGGGATAACTAGCTAGCCATATGCAGAGGATTGAAACTGAACCACTTCCTTACACCATATGCAAAAATCAACTCAAGATGGATTAAAGACTTAAATGTAAAACCCCAAACTATAAAAACTCTGGAAGATAACCTAGGCAATACCATTCTGGACATAGGAACGGAAAAAGATTTCATGACAAAGATCCCAAAAATAATTGTAACGAAAGCAAAAATTGACAAATGGGACATGATTAAACAGAATTACCATTTGACTCAGCAATCCCATTATTGGTTATATACCCAAAGGAATCTAAATCATTCTGTCATAAAGACATATATACACAAATGTTCACGGCAGCACTATACACAATCGCAAAGTCAGGGAATCAAACTAAATGTCCATCAGTGGTAGAAAGGATAAAGAAAATGTGGTGGCAGGGAGTGGTGGCTCATGTCTGTAATCCCAGCACTTTGGGAGGCTGAGGCGGGTGGTTCACCTGAGGTCAGGAGTTTGAGACCAGCCTGGCCAACATGGAGAAACTCCGTCTCCGCTAAAAATACGAAAATTAGCCAGGCGTGGTGGCGAGCACCTGTCATCCCAGCTACTTGGGAGGCCTAGGCGTGAGAATCGCTTGAACCTGGAAGGTGGTGGTTGCAGTGAGCCGAGATCCTGCCACTGCACTCCAGCCTGGGCAACCAAGCGAGACTCTGCCTTAAAAAAAAAAAAAAGAAAATGTGGCACATATACACCATGGAATACTATGCAGCCATAAAAAAGAATGGGATCATGTCCTGTGCAGCAACGTGGATGGAGCTGGAAGCCATTATCCTAAATGAACTCACTCAGAAACAGAAAACCAAATACCACATGTTCTCACTTATAAGTAGAAGCTAAACATTGAGTACACATGGATACAAAGAAGGGAACCGCAGACACTGGGGCCTACCTGAGGTCGGAGCATGGAAGGAGGGTGAGGATCAAAAAACTACCTATCTGGTACTATGCTTTTTATCTGGATGATGAAATAATCTGTACAACAAACCCTGGTGACATGCAATTTACCTATATAGCAAGCCTACACATGTGCCCCTGAACCTAAAAAAAAAGTTAAAAGAAAAACGTTTGGATTATTTTCCCTCTTTCGAACAAAGACATTGGTTTGCCCAAGGACTACAAATAAACCAACGGGAAAAAAGAAAGGTTCCAGTTTTGTCTGAAAATTCTGATTAAGCCTCTGGGCCCTACAGCCTGGAGAACCTGGAGAATCCTACACCCACAGAACCCGGCTTTGTCCCCAAAGAATAAAAACACCTCTCTAAAAGCTGCTCTTCCACCTTTCTTTGGGTTCCGCACTGGTTTTCCAGGGCCAGGAATGGCAGCAGCCAGGACCCCAGGATAAGGGCAGTGCCCAAGGAAAGGGGAGCAGAAGACATTCAGGGAGGGGGAAAGAAATGAGGCTGGGACAGTGGATAAGGGCCAGGTGAAGGGGAGAGGGGCGGCTTCTGAAGGCTTTGGGCAGGGAGAGTGGCTGGGGGAAGCCTAGTAATGCAACCTATCCAGCGGCGGCTTCGGAAAAAACCCGGGGCTGGGTCAGGATGGGAAAGGCAGCGAACTGAACCGTTTTGAGCCCCAAGTTCGGGGCCGAATGTCTTCCCTGTGCGCAGAAGCAAGGGCGGGGGCGTGCCATCCTCACCCGGAGCGCCGGCCGAGCCTCCCGCCTCCCAACGCCTGGCCAGGGCCCCGTCTCGCCCTCTGCACATGGGATCCACTGACCAGGCAACTGCAGGTTTGGGGCTCTGCGACCCGGGGGCAGGAACAGAGCCTTGCAGGCGGCAGCGCGTCACAAAGGCGGCCGGAGCTTGGCATTTAGCTTGGGCCAGAGCAAGGCGCAGACCCGGGGCGCCCATGGAGTTGGCGTCGGAGCAACAGCTGCGCGGGCGGAGCAGGTAGGCGCGCTCCAGTCCCTGCAGCCCGAGCGGGGTTCAGCGAACGGGTAACGGGAGAATGCGGGCCGGAGCAGGCTGGGGTGGCGGTGGGATGCCCCGAGGCCCGCGGCGGGGAGGCGGGCTGCTCTCATCACCCCCTCTGGGAAGCATCTTTGGCTGCAGGAGTTGCCAGGCCAACTCCCCCTCCCGCGGTGGGTAGGACATCTTTAGATTTCCCTCCCTGGTTGGCAGCTGTGTGATATGGTGGACCAACCCTGGGTTCGAATCCTATCTCCCCACTTACTACACGTTCTCCCTGGGAAACTTTATTCACCTTCCAACACCTCCGTTTCCGTATTTGTGAAATGGATGTGTTTGTATTCCTATCTTCCTTGGCGGGACGTTGCAGAAGTACCTCGGCACCAACTTTCTTATTAATGGCAGCCAGCTCTTGTATAGCGTTTACTACGTGGCAGGCACTCACTGTTCCCGGTGCTTTCCAGGTATCAGCTCACTTAATCCTCCCAACACTAAGAGAAAGGCACTATTATTACCCCATATACAGATGTGAGGATTCACACATAAAGAAATTGACTTGCCTAAGGTCATCCGACTGTAATGGGCATAGCTAGGATGCAGCCCACTAAGCTACACTGCCTCTGATGGGGTCTCGGGGGGTAAGGGGAGGCTCCCAGTCATTAAATAGAATTTGGAGTCTCCTTACAGCAACTCTTCCAGACACACATATTCTTCCAACCCCACCCTTACAGCACCAGTGTCTGATGACTTTTCCTGACCTACAACCTTGCTAGGCCAAAAGGTTTCATGGAGCTTTTATTTACTTATTTATTTTATTATACTTTAAGTTCTGGGATACATGTGCAGAACATGCAGGTTTGTTACATAGGTATACATGTGCCATGGTGGTTTGCTGCACCCATCAACCTGTCATCTAGAATTTAAGCCCCGCATGCATTAGGTATTTGTCCTAATGCTCTCCCTCCCCTTGCCCGCCACCCCCCGACAGGCCCCATTGTGTGATGTTCCTCTCCCTGTGTCCATGTGTTCTCATTGTTCAACTCCCACTTATGAGTGAGAACATGCAGTGTTTGATTTCCTGTTCCTGCGTTAGTTTGCTGAGAATGATGGTTTCCAGCTTCATCCATGTCCCTGCAAAGGACATGAACTCATTCTTTTTTATGGCTGCATAGTATTTCATGGTGTATATGTGCCACATTTTCTTAATCCTGTCGATCATTGATGGGCATTTGGGTTGATTCCAAGTCTTTGCTTCGTGGAGCTTTTAAACTGGTTTATCTCTTCTGCAGCACCTTTTAGGAGCTTTGCTTGGTGGTGAGTGCTGTGGAGATCCCTAGCCTTGGGCAGTTTGCAAGTGATTGAAGAGACCTATTTCTTCATTTGTTAAATGTTTAAGTACCTTCTCAAAAGCAGAAGGAGGTTGTCAAGGGGTGTGTGGGTCCCTTGGGAGAGAAAGGCAAGGACACAGATTATACAAAGAGGGGCACTGGCAAGAGGTAGCAGAAGGAGGCAAGCTAAATACGGACACAGCCATGCTGGGAACCACTAGGGCGCCACGTCATGGGCGGGACGGGCTGCTGTTCAGTCCTTTACGGAAGTCTGTTCGGATGTGGCGGTGGGAAGGCCAGCTGGAGACAGGGGCCAAATCAGTGAGTGGGTGGTGAGAGAAAGTGATGGCGTAGTGAGGACAAAGCCTGGAGAAGGTCCCTAGGGAGGCCCACAACTGTGCTTACTTGAGGATGCTCACTGCCACTGTGGTGTTGGTGGGAGCTGGAGGAGACTTGGGGTCCATCAAAGGAAAGAGGATGGGAGACAGGCAGGATACCTGCCATGGGTTCTATTCAGCTGCTAGACGCAATGGGTGAAATGTACACAGAGCCACAGGAATAAGTCCGACAAACAGTAAGTACACATTTGGCAAGCACACATACAGACAAAAAGACACACGTCAAACACACTTGAACAGTTGCCTATGGTGGGGGCAACGGAATGGGACAGAGGGTTAAAATGGAACACATGAATAAATAAAACTAGAGAGGGGTCTTGCACAGACGAATAATGTCAGTCCTGAATTGGGAAATGTGATTCACTTGCCCCTGCACCCTTGTGGTCCAAGAGGTGGGGACAGGAAAAAAAAGTACAGAAGAAAGAGTCAAAAAGCCCAAGTTCCAGTCTGGGGCCCGATACTAACTTGCTGTGAGACTATAGGTGAGTCCCTTCACCTCTCTGGCCTTCAGTGTTCATCTGAAAAGAAATCAATTCTCAGGTCTCTTTCCAGCACCACAATTTTATGAGCCATGATCAATAATCTTGGGTTTATCTGGTAAAGTAGTCAGTGAGAGCTTTAAGGAGTGGTAGGGCTTGAACTTTGAACAATGGGGGTTTGGGAGGGGCAAACAACATGAGGAGAGTTTTTAGGCAAATGAAACTTTGAAAGCAAAAAACTGTAAAAAGTTTAGCAGATGGCTATAAAATATCTATGGATGAAGCAGGCCTTCGCTCAGATCTCTGCCGGGACTCTCTAGTTGGGTCAGAAAATTTCCAGCCTTCCCCACCTCTTCCTTCAACAGTTACCAAATCGTGTCTTCTAAAGAACTTGCAAACACATCCCCATTCCCACCACAATGCCTGGACTCTGCTCTTGACCATCCTTCCTCTGTCCCCCAGGAGTGTCCTTTCCACACCTCAAAACTCACCACATGGCTTCCAGACATTTGACCAATCAACCTTCATGGCTCTCTGTGACCTCAGCTGGGGTTTTCCACCCTGTTCTGCTGTTACACCTCTTGAATTTTACACAACTGTCAGCAATGTAGCTAGATACAGGAAGGGGACAGGCCATGTCAGAATTCCAGAATCTTGGGGAAAGGGGAAGTGGGACTCTCTGGCCTCTAGGACATAATCTTTATCACATCACGCAGGACCCCTTGATCCAGCACTTCCCACTGCTCCCACGTGATCCAGTTCCTCCATTTCCAGCCCACTTAACAAGTTAAGTGCCAGGTGACCAAACCATTTTTAGCTCCCTGAATGGGAACACATCACATACATTCACAGTTCTGTGGCTTTGCACGTATTGTTCCCTCTGCCCAGAATGCATCAGCTCCTCATCCACTACCACTAGGCCCACCTGATCTGCCTTGCAAATCCTACTCACCCTTCAAAACCCAACTCAGACGTCGCTTCCTCTGAGCAGCCCTCTCTACTTCCAAACACTATATTTAGTCAAACAGAGTAAGTCACCCTGCATGTGTGCTACCCCACACTATGAGTCTGCCTGAACCTTCCTGCTCTCTCACAGGGTTATAATTGAGTACTGGTCTGTATCCCTGGATAGACTGTGAAATCCTTGCAGGTGTGGACTGTGTCATGAATGTATCATTGAACCACCCACACCTGGCACAGTGCCTAATGCACTTGGGACCACAGGGAAAGCTGGTTCATTTGAGTTTAATCTCTGTTTGACAGGTAATGGCTCTTCCTTTTTATTCCCCACAGAAAGCAAGTGATTGCTTTCCTTTCCTCATTTTTGGAAGCCCTGCCTAACACACAGCTGCACTGTACATCCCAGTTCCTGGATGGACGAAGAAAGTGAACTGATCCAGCCCCAAGACCAGAGCTGCTGGGCCTTTCTGCCCGATTTGTGTCTGTGCCGTGTTTTCTGGTGGCTAGGAGACAGGGACAGGTCCAGGGCTGCTCTTGTCTGCAGAAAGTGGAACCAGATGATGTATTCTGCTGAGCTCTGGCGGTACAGAACCATCACCTTCAGCGGGAGACCTTCCAGGGTACATGCATCTGAAGTTGAGTCAGCTGTTTGGTATGTTAAGAAGTTTGGTCGTTATCTGGAGCACCTGGAGGTCAAATTCATGAATCCTTACAATGCTGTCTTGACCAAGAAGTTCCAGGTCACCATGCGGGGCCTCCTGTCTTGTCTGAGTAAGAGCAACAACCGTCTGAAATCTCTTTCCATCCAATACCTGGAGCTGGACCGCCTGGTATGGAGGAACAGCATCAGGAGCTCATTCATCAGCAGCTTGAGCTTCTTCTTAAAGAAGATGGGCAAACGCCTGGATTATCTCAACCTAAAAGGGGCCAGGCTGACCGTGGAGCAAGGCTGCCAAATTCTCGACTCCCTCAGCTACATGAGGAATGAGAATGTGATCTCAGAGCTCAACATCGAGGACTATTTCAGCCATCACC
Source organism: Homo sapiens (assembly GCF_000001405.40). Taxonomy (NCBI): domain Eukaryota; kingdom Metazoa; phylum Chordata; class Mammalia; order Primates; family Hominidae; genus Homo; species Homo sapiens. The sequence continues at coordinate 6,780,491 of NC_000017.11, forward strand.
TTGCTGTCTACAACAGCCCCCAGTTCAAAAAGACCATGTCCACATTCCACAATCTTGTGTCCCTGAACCTCAACTACAACTGTATCTCCGACGAGCTGCTTGAGAACTTGTGTGAGAATGCCAGCACCCTCCGGACCATCAACATCAAATGCCACGTTCATGACCCCCACGGACAGGTCATCTGGGGTATGTCCTGGGCCAAGCTGGCCAGGCAGGCCACCAATCTGAAGGTGAACTTCTTCTTTGAACGGATCATGAAGTACGAACGCTTGGCCCGAATCCTCTTGCAGGAGATCCCGATCAGGAGCATCAGTCTGAGAAGCTGCTATTTCAGTGACCCAGACTGTTCAATGAGACCCACTCTGATAGATCTCCTGCCCACCTTCCGGCACACTCTGCAGGTAGGTAGGACTTGTGAGGAGTGACTGCTGTTCAGGTGACTGGCTTCCCCAGAAGAAAGCCCACTGCTGCCTGCTCTTGGCTAGGCTCCCAAATGTTCACTCAATCTCAAATTGAAGTTCTAGGAAATACCACCAACTAAGCCTCCTGCCCTCCTCCCAAGACCACAGTAGGCAACAGAAGCTGCTACTCACTTCCTACATGTGGTACAGACACAAGGAATTATCTGGTTAGCTGTCAGCTAGGGAAAACCCCTAAGTCCCCACTCAGAGCTATGAAGCCTGAGCCAGGAGGTGCCTTGCAGGCGAATAGCGGCTGGGCTGCCTCTTCCTACTTTTCCACGAGGTCACAGCAGCATGCAGGAGACCCTGTGGCTCCTATGGTCAGATCTCAGTGGGGGATCTGTCTGGTTATAGCAGTGCCAGTGCCTGGTAATTGGGGAGATAGAATGGGGAGGACCAGGCCAGACAAAAAGTCAAATTTGATTTACACAACCGAAGAGCTCAGAGTTTCTGGGTTGTTCCCTAATCTAGTAGCTTTCTCACCTGTAAGATCAGGATCATTTTGTCTTTCCAAGGACCTCACAGTGGTTGTGACAACTGATATTAACAGGTTTATGTATCTCTACAAACATGGATGGACTCCAAGGTGCTAATACCTCATTAGGTACCCACATAAACCAAAGGTGGGGTACGGCAGACATCATCATGACCCTTGTGTGCTGCAGAAGAACTTGAGGTTCAATGACCAGCCCACAGTCACCCAGCCAGTCCACTGCAGGGCTGGGACGAGCACCTTGTATACTCCAAGTACACTGCCTCCAAATTCCAAGTTTTGCAACCTTGGATGAGATCACCATCATTCTCAAATCTCTTCCTCTAAGAACTACATGTCCAATGTCCCTTATCTAAAAAGCCCCCAAATTCCATTAACACCAGACCTGTCCTACAAGAAATGCTAAAGGGAGTTCTTCAATCTGAAAGAAAAAGGCATTAATGAGCAATAAGAAATCATCTGAAGGTACAAGACGTATACTTACTATTACTTACTGGTAATAGTAAGTACATAGAAAAACACAGAATATTGTAACACTGGAATTGTGTGAGTAAACTACTCATATCTTACGTAGAAAGACAAACATATAAGCTGATCGAAAATAATAACAACAACAACTTTTCAAGACATAGACAGTACAGTAAGATACAAACAGAAATAACAAAAAGTTAAACAGTAGGGAGACAAAGTTAAGGTAAAAAGTTTTTATTAGTTTTAGTTTTGCTGTTTATTAGTTTGTTTATGCAATAGTGTTAAGTTGTCATCAATTTAAAATAATGAGTTACAAGATATTGTTTGCAAGCTTCATGATAACCTCAAATCTAAAAACATACAACAGATAAAATAAAAAGCAAGACATGAAACATACCTCCAGAGAAAATCACCTTCCCTAAAAGGAACACAGGAAGGAAGAAAAGAAGGAAGAGAAGACCGCAAAAAACCAGAAAACAAATAACGAAATGTCCCGAGTAAGTCCCTACTTAGTAATAACATTGAATACAAATGGACTAAACCCTCCAATCAAAAGACATAGGTGGCTGAACAGATTAAAAAGAAAGACTCAATTATCTGCTGCCTACAAGTAACACATTTCACCTATAAAGACACACATAGACTGAAAATAAAGAGATGGGAAATGATATTTAATGCCGATGGAAACCAAAAAAGAGGAGGAGTAGCTATACTTATATCAGACAAAATAGATTTCAAGACAAAATCTATAAAAAGAGACAGAGTCATTATATAATAATAAAAGAGTCAATTCAGCAAGAGGATATAACAATTGTAAGTATATATGCAGTCAACACCAGAGCACCCAGACATATAAAGCAAATATTATTAGAGCTAAAGAGAGAGATAGACCCCTATATAATAACAGCTAGAGACTTCAACACCCTCCTTTCTGTATTGGGTAGATCTTCAAGACACAAAATCAACAAAGAAACAGCAGACTTAATTTGCATTATAGACCAAAAGGGCCTAAAGGATATTTACAGAAAATTTCATCCAATGGCTGAAGAACACACACTCTTCTCTTTAGCACATGGATCATTCACAAGAATAGGCCATATGTTAGGTCACAAAAAAGTCTTAAAACAGTCAAAAAATTGAAATTATAGCAAGCATCTTCTCTGACCACAACAGAATAAAACTAGAAATTAATAACGAGAAACTTTGGAAATTATATGAAGACATGGAAATTAAACAATATGCTCCTGAATGACCAGTTGGTCATGAAGAGATTAAGAAGGAAATTGAAATATTTTTGAAACAAACAATATGCAGACACAGCTACCAAAACCTGTGGGATACAGTGAGCAATACTAAGAGGGAAGTTTATAGCTATAAGCGCCTACATCAAAAAAGAAGAAAAACTTCAAATAAACATTCTAATGACACACTTTAAAGGACTGAAAAAACCAAGAGCAAACCAATCCCATAATTGGTAGAAGAGAAGAAATAATAAAGATTGGAGCAGAAATGAGTGAAAGTGAAACAAATAATGCAAAAGATCAGTGAAATAAAAGCTTTTTGAAAAATAAACAAAATTAACAAACCATTAGCAAAAATAAGAAAAAATGAGAGAAGACCCAAATAAATAAAATCAAGAGATGAAAAAGGAGACATTACAACCAATACCAGAGAAATACAAAGGATAATTAGAGCCTATAACGAGCAACTATATGCCAATAAATTGGAAAACCCAGAAGACATGGATAAATTCCTACACACGTACAAACTACCAAGATTGAACCATGAAGAAATCCAGAACCTGAACAGACCATTGACAAGTAACAAGATAGAAGCTGTAATAAAAAGTCCCCAAGCAAAGAAAAGCCCTTGACCTGATGGCTGTACTGCTGAATTTTATCAATTTTATCAAACATTTACAGAAGAACTAATACCAATCCTACTCAAACCATTCCAGAAAAATAGAAGCAGAGGGAATAATTCTAAACTCATTCTACAAGGCTGATATTACCCTGATACCAAAGCCAGATAAAGACACATCAAAAACAAGAAAACTATAGGTGAATATTCCTAATAAACATTGATGGAAAATTCCTCAACAAATTATTGGCAAACCAAATTCGACAACACATTACAAAGATCATTCATCCTGACCAAGTGGGATTTATCCCAGGGATGCAAGAATGGTTCAAAATATGCAAATAAATCAGTGTGACACCTCATAACAACAGAATGAAGAACAAAAAGCATATGATTATTTTAATTAATGCTGTAAAAGCATTTGATAAAATTCAACATTCCTTCATGATTAAAACTCTCAAAAAACTGGGTATAGAAGGAGCATACCTCAATACAATAAAAGCCATATATGACAGACCCACAACTAGTATCATATTGAATGGAGAAAAACTGAAAGCCTTTTCTTTAAGATCCAGAACAGAGCAAGGATGCCACTGTTACCACTGCCATTCAACATAGTACTGGAAGTCCTAGCTAGAGCAATCAGATGAGAGAAATAAAGGGCACCCAAATAGAAAATGAAGTCAAATAATTCTTGTTTGAAGATGATATGATCTTATATTTGGAAAAACCTAAAGACTCCACCAAAAACAAAAACAAAAAAAACTATCAGCTAAACAAATTCAGTAAAGTTGCAGGATACAAAATCAACATATAAAAATCAGTAGCATTTCTATATGCCAACAGTGAACAATCTGAAAAAGAAATCAAGAAAGTAATCCTGTTTATAATAGCTACAAATAAAATTAAATACCTAGGAATTAACCGAAGGAATGAAAGATCTCTACAATGAAAATTATAAAATATTGATGCAAGAAATTGAAAAGGACACAAAAAAATGGAAAGATATTCTATGTTCATGAGTTGGAAGAATCAATGTTGTCAAAATGTTTATACTATCGAAAGCCATCTACAGATTCAGTGCAATCCTATCCAAATACCAATGACATTCTTCACAGAAATAGAACAAAGAATCTTAAATTTATATATATATATGTGTGTGTGTGTGTGTGTGTGTGTATATATATATATGGAACCACAAAAGATGCAGAATAGCTAAAGCTGTCCTGACCAAAAAGAACAAAACTGTAGAAACCACATTACCTGACTTCAAATTATATTACAGAGCTATAGTCACTAAAACAGCATGAGACTGACATAAAAACAGATTTTAAGCCCCTTATATATTCTGGTTATTTATTAATCCCATAAAGACCAATGGAACAGAATAGAGAACCCAGAAACAAATTCATTCATCTGTAGTGAACTCATGTTTGACAAAGATGCCAAAACCATACATTGGGAAAAGGACGATCTCCTCTTCAGTAAATGGTGCTAGGAAAACTGGATAGCCATATGCAGAAGAATGAAACTAGACCACTATCTCTTGCCATATATGAAAATCAAATCAAAATGGACTAAAGACTTCAATCTAAGACCTCAAACTATGAAACTGCTACAAGAAAACATTGGGGAAACTCTCCAGGGCATTGAACTGGGCAAAGACTTCTTGAGCAATACCCACAAGCACAGGCAATCTAAGCAAACATAGACAAATGGGATCACATCAAGTTAAAAAGTTTCTGTACAATGAAGGAAACAATCAACAAAGTGAAGAGACAACCCACAGGAAGAATGGGAGAAAATATCTGTAAGCTACCCATATCACAAGGGATTAATAAATAAACAGAATATACAGAGCTCAAACAACTCTATAGGAAAAAAAAATAGTAATCCAATTAAAAAATAGGCAAAAGACTTGAACAGATATTTCTCAAAAGAAGACATATAAATGGCAAAATAAGTATATTAAAAGGTGCTCAACATCACTGATCATCAGAGAAATGCAAATCAAAACCACAATGAGATATTATCTCACCCCAGTTAAAACGATTTTTATTCAAAAGACAGGCAATAGCAAATGCTGGAAAGGATGTAGAGAAAAGGAAATTCTCATACACAGTTGGTGGGAATTTAAAGTAGTACAGCCACTGTAGAGAACAGTTTGGAGGTTCCTCAAAAAACTAAAAATAGAGCTTACATATGATCCAGCAATCCCACTGCTAGGTGTATACCCCAAAGAAAGAAAGTCAATATATCAAAGAGATGTCTGCACTCTCATGTTTATTGCAGCACTGTTCACAATAGCCAATATTTGGAAGCAACCTAAGTGTCCATCAATGGATAAAGAAAATGTGGTACATGTACACAATGGAGTACTATTCAGTCACAAAAAAGAATGAGATTCTGTTGTTTGCAATAACATAGATGCAACTGAGGTTGTTATGTTAAGTGAAATATGCTAGGCACCGAAGGACAAACTTTGCATGTTCTCACTTATTTGTGGGAGCTAAAAATTAAAACAATTCAACTCATGGAGATAGAGAGTAGAAGGACGCTTACCAGAGGCTGGGAAGGGTAGTAGGGGGTGCAGAGGGAAGTGGGGATGGCTAATGGGTACAAAAAAAGTTAGAAAGAATGAACAAGATCTAGTATTTGATAGCACGACAGGGTGTCTATAGTCAATCATCATTTAATTGTACATTTTTTAAAAACTAAAAGAGTATAATTGGATTGTTTGTAACACAAAGGATAAATGCTTGAAGTCATGGATACTCTATTTACCCCATTGTGATTATTACACATTGTATGCCTACATCAAAATATCCCATATACCCCATAAATATATGTACCTATGTACCACAAAAATTAAAAATTAAAGTTAAAAACCCCCAAATCATCATGGCTATCAGGCCCAGAGCCAGGTCGTGGAAATGTTACAGAACAACTCAGCCAGGCTCAGCATCTCTGCCCACACACATCTTCCCTTTTGGTGCTCTTCCAGAAATTAACTTGTGAATTCAACAACAACCATGAGTCACTCGACGAGGAGCTGCACCTCCTCATCATATCCTGCAGGAAGTTGTTTTACTTCAAAATCTGGGCTTTCCTTGATGTTAGTTTTGTGGAGCGGATCCTGAAGAGTCAGAAAGAACGGCAGTGTGCCCTGCGTGTATTCAAGGTAAGAGGTCCCCAGGCTGGTTCCACGGCGTAGAGTGGGGGCATCCAGGAATGGTGCTTCTGCTCTGGAACGAAGGGCTGAATAAGGCAGTGGGGGACAATCATCTGTTCATTGAAAATCAGCAGTTTCAAAGAAGGGAATCTGGAGCTCTCTTTTCTAGTAGTTGGGTTTGGTCTTTTTCTGATTCTGCCAACATATTTTCCTGATTCAACAACTGTATGTGTAGATCATTTAAGTTGCTGTCAAGCCCTGAAAAGTGTAGTCACCGTGTGTGTGTGTGTATGTGTGTGTGTGTGTGCGTGTGTGCGTGCTCATATGTGGATGTATTTCTCTGTTGGCACAGGCGAGAATTTATACAAACAGATATGAGACGAATGAAGAGGACAAGACCCTGCAGGAAATTTACAGGAAGTACAGAAAGCTGATCGAATCAGAGCTTAGCTATTTTGTCATCGTTTACTCTGTGATGTAATGAGCACTCTACAGATGAAGAAAGCTGGGAGCACTTTGAACTTGAAAATCATTTCTCTTAGAACTACACTTGGGCACTGCCGGCCCTTTTGCTCCTCTCTCTCCCCTCCACTTTTTTTTTTTGTCAGCTCCATGACAACATGACCAGCTCAGCAAAGGCTGAGACTGCCCATGACCTGAAGGCTCCAGGTGGCTTTAAAGCGCTATGTTTACCAACTATCCCGGTGTCATTTCTCTTTTTGTCAGTTTTGCTTTTTGACACCCTCACTCGTCCACAGAGCTAAAAACCCAAAGCCACTCAGAGTAGCTTCCTTTTTTTTTTTTTGAGATGTGTTGACGAAAAGAGTCAAACTCTGTAAAATATTTTTAGAGATTTATTCTGAGCCAAATATGAGTGACCATGGCCTGTGATACAGCCCTCAGGAGGTCCTGAGAACATGTGCCCAAGGTGATTGGGGTACAGCTTGCTTTTATATATTTTAGGAGGCAAGAGACATCAATCAAATAGATTTAAGAAATATATTGGTTTGATTCAGAAAGGCGGGGCAACAAAGCAGGGGCTTCCAGGGTATAGGTAAATTTAAACATTTTCTGGTTGACAATTGGTTGAGTTTATCTGAAGACCTGGGATCAACAGAAAAGAAATGTTTGGGATGAGATAAAGGATTGTGGAGACCAAGTTTTACTGCGCAAAGGAAGCTCTCAGATAGCAGACTTCAGAGAGAGCAGGTTGTAAAATGTTTCTTATTGGAATTAGAACGGTCCCTGGCTCTTAGTTGATTATCTCCTGGAACCAGAAAGGAAGGAAGGAAAACAAAGGGGAGAGGAGATTCTCTACAGAATATGGATTTTTCCCACAAGAGACTTTGCAGGGCAATTTCAAAGTATGGCAAGAAAATATATTTTGGGATAAAACATTTTGATTTTCTTCCTTGTTATGCCAGAGTCAGATTGGAAAGTCACTATATACAGGGTTAACTAAAACCCATCTAATTAGAATTTATGGCTTGTAGGGCATGATTCCTCAGACCCCTTAGATAGGAATTTGGGCAAGATTTAAAAAAAAAAAAAATCAGAGCTTAGTCCTCAGACAGAGTCTCATTCTGTTGCCCAGGCTAGAGTGCAGTGGTGCAATCTCGGCTCACTGCAACTTCTGCCTCTCAGGTTCAAGCAATTCTCCTGCCTCAGCCTCCAAGTAGCTGGGATTACAGGCATGCACCACCATGCCCAGATAATTTTCGTATTTTTTGTGGAGATAAGGTTTCACCACGTTGGCCAGGCTGGTCTCCACCTCCTGGCCTCAAATGATCCACCTGCCTTAGCCTCTCAAAGTGCTGGGATTACAGGCGTGAGCCACCGCACCCAGCCCCAGAATAGACTCTTACTAGAGGACCCTGACTCTTGCTAACCTGTGCACCTGAAAGGGTGTGTGTAACCATTAAGCAAATAGAATCACATTTTCTACTGACCGACATTATCAGTTTAGAAATCCTTTGTATCCACTGACCTTCATTGGGGAGTCTGCTGACATTGACATTGTCATTGTCTGGGCCCAATCTCAGATGCATAGAAATCTCCAGCCTGCCCTTGGGTGAAGCAGGAAAAGCCCCACTTTTAGGAGGAGTCTGCTCAGAGCTGGAACTCCCTCCCACAGAAGGAACTCAGCCCCTGACTTAATGGCATCGTGGACTCGAATCTCCTTCCTCCGTTTTTCCTGTGTCTCCTTTATTTTTCCACAAATATGCTGAGACCGGGTCTGTGATGTTGAACATAGATGTGAATGGCCAAGTTTGATGGCCCCAAACCTGGCTTTTGGAGCCAGGTGTCTGGATGAGTACTGGCCTGCCATGAACTTGTCTTGTGCCTTGGGGCAAGAATTTAACCTCCTTGAGTTTCAGCTTCTCTGTGTGTAAACGAAGAAAAAATTAATTACATGCATTGCAACACACACACCTGGCCCGTGTTGGCTTTTATCTTGTTTGATATATGAAGGAACAGGCTCTAAGGAAGTTAACTTACCCCGAGTCATACAGCCAGTTTGTGGCAGAACTAATACCAAAGTCTCCAGATTTAGAACCCAAGACTCTTTCTTCCTCCCAAACAACAAAATGAGAAGAACCCATTCCCTCTCCCTTCCTCCACCCAGCTTGTCTCGACAGTTATTAAAGTGATCACTGGTTGAGTGTTTACATGCTAGACATAAATTCACCTAGTTTCATTTAATCCTCACACAGCTCTAGAAAGCAGAGACTACTATTATCCCTCTTTTACAGGGATCCTGAAGGATTGGCAAGTCTAACCTGCCCTGGTCACACATTTAGGAAGTTCTGGAAGTGAGTGTCAAACCCAATCTAATTCCAGAGCTCTGCTCTTAATTCCTACGTATTATCCCCACAGCAAGAGGATTTGGGGTCTGTTGTACCGTAATTCTATTAAGTGAAGAGCATGGTTGGAAGAGAGGATCGATGATAATAATAAATTCCTGAGCCCATGCCATAGACATTGTATTACTTCTGGTCCTTTGGGGGTTTTGTGCATGCAGTGGCATAGAGTTCTGTTTTTCAATAGATATAAATTAACAAAATCTCAGAACACTTTTAACAAGTGACATTTCAGATTTTGTTTGTCTTGCCTCTTGTGTGCTGTGCCCATATTTTTGCTTAGCTGAGGTTTTCAGAAGTGAGAAGTGTTGGTGACATTGTCAGACAAAGGATTTGCAGCTGTTATAGACTCACCATCCACCACATGGCACTCACAGGTAGCATTTATTCACAAACAGACCTCAAGGACTCCAAAATACTGAAGATTTCCCATGGTATCCAGAGATGATGAGGGAACAAGGGTCTGTGCCAGCTTGAGCAACAGGCACCCGTCAGTATGGCTTGTTACTGACACATTAATCTCCATGGCAACAGAAAGCTATCCTTTCCTTAATTGTAACCATCCCAACAAATTTGAGAAATGCTAACTCCCTCCAATAAAGAGTTTGTGAACCTAACTGAAATTGTCCTTTTAAATGCCATTTATGATATATGGCAGGCAATGGGAAGTATTTTATAAATCACTTGTCTTCTTTAAGGATTTTAAGGAATATATGCCGGGGCTGACAGCCACAGCTCACACAAGCCTCAAACCAAGCTACGCTGTGCTCCATAATGACTTTATTATGTAATTGGTATGAAGGTAAACACAGAAAGAAAAAGCTGGCTCAGGCTTTTTAGGTATTAATGAGACTTCAGTGTTTGGGGTACAACTAGGTCAATAGCATTCTGCTACTTCCATTTCTGGGCTCAACTAGATACTTTTCAAAGTCTCCATTCACAGCTTTAAGGTTTGTGTCTTCAAGACACACTTATTTTTTAGGGCTGTAGGCCAAATTGAAAGAAGCCAACCTGGCATCTTATAATGGTGACTGTAGGTTTGCATGTAGTAAACAGGGAGATGTTTCACTATTTCTTCTCTGTCCTATCAGCTTTTCTCAGCCCTTGAGGCAATGTATGTACCAGAAGACAGCAGAGGTTAGTCAATTTCTTTTCAAAGTCCAGCCAAAGATAAGCATCTTTTTTTTTCTGCATCAATCATCTGGTCATTTTTTTTATTATACTTTAAGTTCTAGGGTACATGTGCACAATGTGCAGGTTTGTTACATATGTATACATGTGCCATGTTGGTGTGCTGCACCCATTAACTCATCATTTAGGATGGATTAAAGACTTAAATGTTAGACCTAAAACCATAAAAACCCTAGAAGAAAACCTAGGCAATACCATTCAGGACATAGGCATGGGCAAGGACTTCATGTCTAAAACACCAAAAGCAATGGCAACAAAAGCCAAAATTGACAAATGGGATCTAATTAAACTAAAGAGCTTCTGCACAGCAAAAGAAACTACCATCAGAGTGAATAGGCAACCTACAGAACGGGAGAAAATTTTTGCAATCTACTCATCTGACAAAGGACTAATATCCAGAATCTACAAAGAACTCAAACAAATTTACAAGAAAAAAACAAACAACCCCACCAAAAAGTGGGTGAAGGATATGAAAAGATTAGCATCTTTAAGCCTCTGTCACACCACTGCACTCCAGCCTGAGCAACAGAGCGAGACCCCATCTCTACTACAAATAAACAATAGGTAAAACAAAAATAAGCCTCTACACTTCTTGACTTCTTCCTCCAATACTCTTTTGGAATTGCTTTTGGCAAAGTGTCATTGGGGGCTGCCTAATTGCCAAATCTACAGGATGCTTTTCCTTTCTTAGCTGACTTTCTGGAGCCTTCGACCTGCTGACCCAGTGCCTTAAAAAGTGGCACCCGTGACAGCCATGCTGTCCTGGCTTCCTCCAGCCCCTGGGATGTCTCGCTCAACCTGAGAGTGTTGGTGCTTCTCAGGGCTCAGCCCCTCCATGGCTTCTACCACCACCTGTCTGCAGATGTCTCCCAGCCCTCTTGCTATAGCCAGACCTCTCTCCACCCACGGGCTCCTCATAATTAGCGAGAGAGCTTGCCTCCTTAGCTCTCCCACCCTCACCCTTATTTTATTTTATTATTATTTTTTAAGACAAGAGTCTTGCTCTATTGCCCAGGCTGGAGTGCAGTGGCACTATCTCAGCTCACTGCAACCTCTACCTCCCAGCTTCAAGCGATTCTCTTGCCTCAGCCTCCTGAGTAGCTGAGATCAAGGCACCCGCCACCATGTCCGGCTAATTTTTGTATTTTTAGTAGAGATGGGGTTTCACCATGTTAGCCAGGCTGGTCTCGAACTGATCTCAAGTGATCCATCCACTTCAGCCTCCCAAAGTGCTAGGATTACAGGTGTGAGCCACCATGCCCGGCCTTCACCCTCATTTTAGAAGCCCTCCTTCTCCTACATTCCCTCTCAGCATTCCACTCACCCTGCTACTCAAGGCAGAAACCTGGGAGCCACCCTAGATCCCTCCCTGTCCCTCACCCTGTATAACAAATCAGTCTCCAAGCCACTTAGCCCCTAGACGTTTCTGGACTCTGTCCCTTCTTCACTATTTCTATATTCATGTCTTAACTCAGTCTCTCTTATGTCTACCTGGATTGCTGGGCCTCCTACATTGCCTTCAGGCCTCCAGGTCCAATCTCTGCCCAGCCTCCAGCCCTCAGCCCCATCTACACTTGCCTAAAAGCACCCTGCTCTTTCAAGCATCGGTTTCTTCCTTCCCATCTTCCTGGAATGTCCTTCCTACCTTTTTCCTCAGCTACTGAATTTCTGCTCATGTTCCATAGCAGGTGCTCACCAATTGGTAATGGCTGTTTCAGACAGGCTCATTGTCATCCTTCCTGTCTCAGTTTAGGCGGCTCCTCTTCCAGGAAGTTGTTCCTGATCCCCAAGGCTGTTCTCACAGCTATCATGGTTATTGTCGCTTCACCTCCCTCCCCACTACACCTGCTACATGATAGGTGCTCAATAAATGTGGGATATATTATTTTGAAATTTGTACTTTTCTGTGGTCCCAGCTACTCAGGAGGCTGAGGAAGGAGGATCACCTGAGCCTGGGGAGGTCGAGCCTGCAGTGAGTCCTGATCATGCTTCTGAACTCCAGATTGGGTGACAGAGCAAGATTCTGTCAAAAGAGAAAGAAAAAGAAAGAAAGAAAGGAAAGAGAAAGAAAGAAAGAAAGAAAGAAAGAGAGAGAGAGAGAGAGAGAAAGAAAGAAAGAAAGAAAGAAAGAAAGAAAGAAAGAAAGAAAAAGAAGAAGGAAGGAAGGGAGGGAGGGAAAGAAAGAAGAAAAAGAAAGAAAGAGAGAGAGAAAGAAAGAAAGAAAGAAGAAAGGAAGGAAAGAAAAAGAAAGAAAGAAAGAAAGGAAAGAAAGAGAAAGAAAAAGAAAGAAAGAGGGAGAAAGGTAATTTGTACTTTTTATTTTTATTTTTTTCTTTTTTTGAGACAGTTTCACTCTGCTAGAACGCAGTGGCGTGATCTCAGCTCACTGCAACCTCTGCCTCCTGGGTTCAAGTGATTCTCTTGCTTCAGCCTAGCGAGTAGCTGGGATTACAGGAGCCACCACCACGCCTGGCTAATTTTTGTAATTTTAGCAGAAACGGGGTTTCACCATGTTGTCCAGGCTGGTCTCAAACTCCTGACATCAGGTGGTCCACCCACCTCAGCCTCCCAAAGTGCTGAGATTGCAGGCATGAGCCACCGTGCCTGGACAAATTTGGACTTTTTAAAGCCCTGGTACTACTTTTCAATATTTACTCTTAGTTCAAAGAGTTAGTTCTCAAAATATTGGAAACTAACTCATTTAAGAAGAAACTGGGTACCATTTAATGGGAACCCACTACATCAGGCACTGTACATACCATAACTCATTTTATCTTCACAACATCCTGGCAAGAAGAATGTTCTTCATCTGATTTACAGACCAAGAAAAGGAAGATCAGATAAATAACTTCCCTGAAGCCTCACAGCCACTTTGTGCAGAGCAGGAATTTGAATCTCACCCTCTCCTTTCACTGCCCCACACTCTCTGCTGTTGCAGAGGTGGTATCCTGGCAAGACGCTGACTCAGCCTTTCTAGGAAATGGTGATTTGGAACTTGACAATGATCTTTCAAAAACTTCAGTCTTAAATTAGGCAGTTACCTGCTGATCTGATACGTAGAAACCCCTGCCTAGAAAGGTGCCCTTGGGATGTATCTACACTTGCTAAGAGGAAGAAATTTCCCTGACATGCATTGGTCAATTGGAAACCCCAAGAATCTCACTAGCCTCCTCTATCCCAGGGCCTGGGATGGCAAAGTGCTACACCAGAAAAGGGCTATGTGGATCACAAGGACAGTGTAGGCCTCATGACTCTGAGATAACAGAACAGAGGCACAGAGAGGCTAAGCAACTTACCTTAGGTCACACAGTAAGAGGAAGAGTGAGCCAGGATTTGAACCCTCGTGTATCTGACATAAAGGCCAGCATCCCATCTATAAAATGGGGCTAGTAATCATACCAGCCTCTTCAGGTTTTTGTAAAGATTTGATGAGAAAATATACGAGAAGTCACTTTATGAACTGTGGATCACAGCTGAGTGTGACACGTCATCACTATTGTCGCCCATCAGTCAATTATCTGGGATAGCCTGAGGTTGTGTCATACCTACATAAGCCACAGAAAAATAGACTCATGAAAGAATCAGGGCTGGGCATGAATGAACGAGAAACTACATTTAAATGGAGCCCAGACTGCACGGGAACCAAAGTGGGGTTCTAATACCATTGGGTTGATTACCTATGGCAGAAACAGCCCAAGCAAATATGTGACCAAATGCTAACATCACACCTAAATGTCTAAGCTGTTCTGTAATTTTGAACATTAATCTGTTTTCAGGGGATGATCCAGGGAAAAGAATGAATCAAGCCATTGCTGTGGTATTTGGACCAGTGGCCACTTGCCATTGACTTGGTGAGAACGAGGATGCAGATTTACTTTTCATGCTCTTAGGAGTATAAGTCTAGGATCTGGGTCCACTCTGAGGAATCTTTCCTCTCCACTCCCACTGGCTATTAGGAATCTTAGGAACCAATAAGCTAGAAACTTGACTGTTTATACTTTCCTCATTTGTTTCAGTGGATTAAGGTACCTAATTGTTCCATAACACCCTACGGTTTCTAACTGGCTTTCATTTAACATTGACACCGTTAATGCCACCACGCAAGAATGAACTGTTTACTTGCCTGAGAAATTGCATGTGGGATTTAAAACTTTTTCTAAGATTCATTTTTTCAACTGATGATCTCTCAGGAGTATTTTCTGGTGGTGTTTGAGACAGTGACTGATGTTGGCATTTTCCCAGGGTGTGGAAGCCCCCAAGTTTAAAGCCCAGCTGACTCCGTGTGCCAGATCTTCACACAAGAAGGACCAGTGATATAAGGGGTTCTCCAATTATAAAATTAACAACTGGGAGGGATAAAAAAATCGCACCACTAACTTTGGAGAATTAGCTGAGAAAAATTTTACGTAGAGGAAAAAAGACTTGGAAAATTGTCTTCTGAATTAAACATATTAGTCTTCTTCAGGTAGCAGCAAATAGAACAATTGATTGTGACCGAGTGCCTTTCTTTCTTTCTTTCTTTCTTTTTTTTTTTTTTTTTTTTTTTTTTGAGATGGAGGTTTGCTCTTTGTTGCCCAGGCTGGAATGCAGTGGTATGATCTCAGCTCACTGAAACCTCTGCCTCCTGGGTTCAAGCGATTCTCCTGTCTCAGCCTCCCAAGTAGCTGGGATTACAGGCACCCACCACCACACCCGGATAATTTTTGTATTTTTTTTTTTAGTAGAGATGGTGTTTCACCATGTTGGCCAGGCTGGTCTCGAATTCCTGACCTTGGTGATCCACCCATCGTGGGCTCCCAAAGTGCTGGGATTACAGGCATGAGCCACCACACCAGGCCTCCAAGTACCTTTCTTATGGACCAAGTTCATTTCCAATATTTTAGCAGTGGCGTTAGGTAGACTGTATATGATGATTCTCCTAAATAAGGTTATTCTCTTTCTGTTAAATATGGTTTTCATTGATTTATGGATGTATCTGGAACTATTATTTTGGCAGGTTTTACAAGGCCTCAGAATCGGTTCGGATGCAGGAACTGTGTTTGACGTTTATGTCGAAGTTCTCATCAAAGCCTGGAAAATGTGGAGCCTCTTTTGCAAGAGTGGAGATTGTTGCCTTTAAGCCAGATCTTAAACACTGTTAGCTCATTGTGAAAAACACAAGTGCCAGTGATTAACAAAGAATGTTTACTTAATTTACTTCAGATCTGGTCTCAGTTAAAGGTTAGCTCATCCTTATCAGGTGGTCACAGAAACTAGATCCCAGTAGCAGAGTGACCTTTGGAAGCTAGAATTGTAGTCAATGGACTTAAAGTGAGATCGTGGGAGCCAGTTCTTCACTTAATTAAGCAGAGTTGAAAGACTTTCTTCTTTCCAGCTCCCTATTTTCCTTCCTTGGGCTATTTTCTGTAAGTCAGACTTGGTTTGCCTCAATACTACATATGCCCTGTAAAAATAAATTAACTACAAGAGACTGTTGACTGTATGGCCACCAGCCCTGCCCTGGTGTGTGTCCTTTGCAACACTAGTGTCTGAGGTGGAGCCCTCCATTCCTCGTGTTTTTCATCCACTCCCCCTTTCCTTCCTCTCCCCCGCCAGTAGAGGACTGTTTGCGCAAGAGACCAATGGATTAGCCAGCAGGTCTAAGCAGCTGCAAGGATAGGTCTCTCTTTTGCCCGGGGGAGAGAGATACCAGCTTGACTCGTGATCAGGTACTTTATTCCTTATGATAGGGAGCTCAGAATCCAGCATCAGTGTTCCTATTAATTTCTTGTTAGTTTTGTAGCTTTGGGTATCTGCACTTGTCAACAGTAGGCTGTAAGAATATTTATTGGAAACCACAAAAATCTCACTAGCCTCCTCTATCCCGGAGCCTGGGATGGCAAAGTGCTACACCAGAAAAGGGCTATGTGGATCACAAGGACAGTGTAGGCCTCATGACTCTGAGATAACAGAACAGAGGCACAGAGAGGCTAAGCAACTTACCCTAGGTCACACAGTAAGAGGAAGAGTGAGCCAGGATTTGAACCTTGGTGTGTCTGACATAAAGGCCAGCATCCCATCTATAAAATGGAGCTAGTAATCATACCAGCCTCTTCAGGTTTTTGTAAAGATTTGATGAGAAAATATACAAGAAGTCACTTTATGAACTGTGGATCACAGCCAAGTGTGACAGGTCATCACTATTGTTGCCCATCAGTCAATTATCTGGGATGGCCTGAGGTTGTGTCATACCTACATAAGCCACAGAAAAATTGACTCATGAAAGAATCAGGGCTGGGCATGAATGAATGAGAAACTACGTTTAAATGGAGCCCAGACTGAACGGGAACCAAATGTGGGTTCTAATGCCATTACTCATTACTGTTACCCAAATATGATCCTGCTCCCCTGGGAGGGTGGCTCTGACCTTGTCACTCCCAAGCCTGGCACCCCCAGAGCATGCTAGAGTGGTGGTGGAGGGCAAAGATGACAAGACATGGACTCTCTGGGTTAGGGTGAGTGGCAGGCAACAGAATCCACAGAATAGAGAAGTACCTAGATTGGGTACTCTGGGAGAAAAACAACCTTCCGGAGATTTTCCCAGTGTGCCAAATCCTGTGCTACCCGAGAGAATTCCCACTCATCACTGCCAAATGAACCACGGAAGAGACAGAAACTTTGCTCCTGTGTTTCTTTTAATTATGTGGATTACAGACACGTTCAACTTTGGTTCTATGTTAAGAAAATTCAAGTTTAAATGACTCCCAATTTAAGTGATGGTATTTAAAAATAAATTTTGTGTTATCTAAGACAAAAATTGTACTTTGTCTTAAAAAGATATCTGGCTTGGATGGGTCAGAGGGGTACGGAACAGGGTGGCCTTCATCAGTAGCTACAAAGGCTTTTGCAACCGTGGGCTAATTGCAAATGTCCTTCATGAAACACAGGCTAAGACCAGATTTCATTTGTGAAACACATTGATACCCAATAAGACCTAGGAATTGCATGAGCAGATTTACTAACAAAACATTGCTTTATTGAAATCTTAGATGTTTCCGCATTTTATGTCTACATGTTGAGAAATGGCCTCAACCATAATCAAAATCACATTTCCCTTAAAAGCAGCATGTTCCAGACACTGTGTTGAGAGTCTTCCACACGTTATCTCGCCAATCTAGGCTTTATTAGTCTTATTTACAGATTAGGCAACTGAAGCTCGGGGAAGTTGAGTAACTTGGCGGGGATCACATCACAGGTAGAGCGTGGAGCTGATCCACCAGCTGATCTGAATCACATCTCCCTGCAGAGCCTGGGATCTGAATCCACCACTGAGGCTGGCTGCCTCTGAGAGCTGTATTCACAAGGAAGGATTTTGCCCAGTGTCTTCACACCCTGCCAGCCACATCCTCTGGGACAGACCTCAAAACCCTGCTAAGTTAGCAGAAACTCTGAGGTCTGCCCAGTGAGCTGGGAAGGCTTATTTGGACTCTTCCGAGCCAGAGCAGAAAAGCACCCAGAGGCTTCCCAGTGAGCAGAGAGGGGCCTCCCTCCTTGATTGAGGCATGGGAAGGGCTGTGTATTTGCTGAGCACTCTGAGAGGAGACGTTCAGCACTGGGGTGGCATAGATCAGAATTAACAGAATTAAGCCAGTGCTTTTGGCCTCAAAGGGGGTTTCTCCATCCCAGATTGGGAACATCCCTTTCTGATGGCAAAGAGTCTCTGGACCAAGGAGCACCTAGATTGCAAAGCTCCCAGGAATTAGGCCCACACTCTGCATTATCATTGTGCCCTATGACACCGTATGTGCAGCTAGACAGCCAGATTCAGGGAACAGCAAGGACAGGAAGAGTTCCAGACGATATAGTCCTTTCCTTACTTTACAGGTGGTCCTAAAGAAGGAGAGAAACTTTCCTGGCAGTGTTGCAACTAGAAGCTAGGTCTCCTGAGCCCCACACCGTCAGCTGTCCATGAGCACCGGGGAACCAAATGTTAGCAGAGTGTAGCAGCAGCTTCACACATGGGAGGGTGCTGAGATGGTAAGCCTCGTCCATGGAAAGTGTTCCTTCAATGTTAGCGGAATAAGGAACAAATGAGCAGTTTCCCACAGCAAATGTCTTCCTTTGACAGTCACCCACATAGATCTCTGACCTGCTGCAGCTCAGCGGAAGGCAGCCTCCCACAAGTTGAACTCTTTTTGGAAAAGAAACAGTAAGTATATAAAACAGTCTTGCTGAAAACTTGTAAAGAGGTACGTAACCATTAAAATAATTATAAAGACAATTTAGCAACATGAACAAAGGCTTGCAATAATTAGCAGTGAAGGAAAAAAATAATCCTGAAATTGAGTTTATGCCATGAGTACAATTGTGCAGAAATTATGTTGGTATAGGGTGGGACTGCTCACAATGGCTCACATTCATTAAACACTCACTGCCCCATGATACAGGCTCAGTATGAAGCCCTTTACGGAGGTGATCTCATTCAACGCCCCTATAGCCCTGTGAGTGGGGACTATTGGAGGTCCTATACTCAGATGGCAGACTCCGGAACCTACAGTCTTAACCATTGACTTGAACCCATTGACTTGAATGAATGGAATTTTGTTCTTTTTCTTTATGTTATTTGAGTATTTAAGAGAAAAAAAACACATTATTTTCTAGAGAAAAGAAATTTTGAGAGCCAAGAGAAAGGTTAGCATCCCATCTCATGAGCAAGAGGGGCATGGTCTACACAGGTGATCCAGCCCAACTACTTTATTGAATTGAATCTGAACTGAAATGTCTTGAAACCCTGTCCTGGGGCCCCAAGTCCTGTGATATTGTAAGAGTGGCCTGTGCTAAAATATGGAGTTGAATTGTTAGGCAAACACCACACCAGCATAAGAGAAGAAACTCGCCCCAAAATCAGCCCCCTGAGCAGGCTTGGAATGCCAGCCAAGAGGTTGCAGCAGGCTGGCTAGAGGCCCCGCCAGCCTGAAATGAGAGCTCTGTACTACTGTAACTACTGTTTACAATGTGGTTTAATGAGAATTGGAACTAGCCCTACTATTAGCAGACAGCATCAGGGCGGAGGCCCCCAGCCCAGACCCCATGGTCTTCCCCATCCCGAAGTGGGATGGATTTCCTCATCTGCATACACAGCACTTCGTCGATATAAATGGTGTTCTCTTTGACCTGGATCTCCTCCTGCAGGGCAAGCTGTCTGCGATGCAGCCCTTTCAGCTCTGCCTGAGCTTGGGCTAAAGTTTCCTTCAATCTAGGAGAAAGGGAAGAAGAGAAGAGAATAATTTCTCTCTATGCATTGCTTTTTCAAGGGAAAGAATGTTCCCCAGTGTTCAGTGCAGGAGCCAAATTGATATGTGCTCTTCCCCTTCCTCTCTCCTCATGAAGACAGAGATCTCACTAATTTTAGAATAAAATGCATACTGAAAAGGCCATGAAAAAAAGAAAAAGACAGAGATTTCAATTTGGCGGCCACAGGCCAGATTCATGACGTAGACACCTTATGAAATGCTGATGTTTAAAACTGCAGATTTGACCTAAACATCTGGATTTGGGCTTCTTTAGAATCACTCAATATTGGGATCCATTTTCTCCAAGGCAACAATTTTGGCGGGAGGTGGTGGAGACTTCCCTCTAGGGGGCATTCCTCAAGCATTCCAGAGCAGGCTGGCTTCATTCACGCTGCTGGTCACTATCTAGCCTCTGCTTGATATCCAGGTTGGGATTGAGACCCGAAGGCCCTCTGCCCACTGGCTGCTAGCCTACCTTGCGACATTGTGGGTGATCTCTTGAACCTCCTTCATTAGCCTATATTGTGCGACATCACGACACAGCTCCACGTTCGGCCGGTGTGTCCTGGTCTCCAAGCGCGTATGAGCCACCTTGGCTGGCCCTTCTTGGTCAAGGATGGCCTTTTCAAGAGCTGTAATATTTTTCTCCTGGGAAGCAATCTCTTCCATGACCTTACAAAAAGGATTAGAGTAGGTGAGGCCAAGCTGTGCTCCTCAAAACTCAACAGCTGACAGCAGATGGGTTGTGATCATGTAAGTTAGGAAGAGGGAACCTCAGATTTCTTCTTAAGCAGCATGCCAGAGTCTGATCTCTCTTCCCTAAAGCAGTGATTGCTGGTGGGCAAGGTCACATAAGACTTAAAACCTTATGGACTCAAGGGACAGGACGGGCCATTGTCACCTCATCTACCCACAGGAGATGCCCTCAGCAAAGGCCTGGCCAGAGTGGGGATCTCACTACTGCTCAAAGCTGCCTGCTCACCTTGGTACAGGGTACCTTTGTATCATGAGCAGAAAGCTGCCTATTTCCTCACCACTCCTATCCTGCTAGCACCAGCTCTGTCCTCTGGAAGCCTGAGGAAAGAAGGAGCAGTTGGGTCTGAGTTTGGTTGTTATTTTTGTGAGTGACTTTATGCACAGAAAAAGACTACTTTTAGGCCAGATGTGGTGGCTCACAGCTGTAATCACAGCACTTTGGGAGGCTGAGGAGGGAAGATCACGAGGTTAGGAGTTCGAGACCAGCCTGCCAACACGGTGAAACCCCCAACTCTACTAAAAATACAAAAATTAGCCGGGTGTTGTGGCACACACCTGTAATCCCAGATACTCAGGAGGCTGAGGCAGGAGAATTGCTTGAACCCAGGAGGCGGAGGTTGCAGTGAGCCAAGATCGTGCCACTGCACTCCAGCTTGGGGGACAGAGTGAGACTCCGCCTCAGAAAAAAAAGAAAAGAAAAGAAAAAGACTACTTTTAAGTTACTTGGTTTTAACAAAATTAATATTTAACTGGTTTAAAATATATTTCTTCATTAAGCATTTTTTTTAAAACTTGTACATCTACTTTTGCAATATACACAAAAGTAGATAGACTAAGGAACCTCGCATAGTCATCAGCAGTTTCAGCAATGAGCAGTATGTGGCCAGTCTTGCTTCATCTATACTCCTGTCCATCAGCTTAGTTATTTTAAAACTAATCCCAGATATTATGTCCTTTTAGTTAAATATTTCACTTAAATATTTGAGTGTGTATTTCTAAGCATAGGATTCTTTATTTTCTTTTGACAAAACCACAATACCTTTATCACACCAAAAAAGAGACAAAAGACTTATTCTTTAACATTATAATAATATTTAGTGATCACATTTCACCAATTGTTCCATATATTTTGGTAGAGTTGGTTTGTCCAAATTACATCCCAATGAGGTCCAGAAATTGCACTTGGCTTTCTTAAGCTTCTATTTAAACACTTCTTAAGGTTTTCATAAGTCCGGTTCACAGATATACTATTTTTAAATTTAGCAGATATTAGCAATTACTTTAAGCTGCTTTCGACTAATAATTGCTCCTACTTCAAACTTACTTAAAGTCCTTTGAATATTTATTTAAAGCAGCATTTATAAATTTGATACATAACTTTTTAAAATATTTGAATTATCTTTTTTTTTTGGCCTGGAATTTTATTTATTTATTTTTTTAAGGTGAATTTTATTTTTTTATTTTTTTATTATACTTTAAGTTTTAGGGTACATGTGCACAACGTGCAGGTTTGTTACATATGTATACATGTGCCATGTTGGTGTGCTGCACCCATTAACTCATCATTTAGCATTAGTTATATCTCCTAATGCTATCCCTCCCCCCTCCCCCAACCCCACAACAGGCCCTGGTGTGTGATGTTCCCCTTCCTGTGTCCATGTGTTCTCATTGTTCAGTTCCCACCTATGAGTGAGAACATGCGGTGTTTGGTTTTTTGTCTTTGCGATAGTTTGCTGAGAATGATGGTTTAGAACTTCATCCATGTCCCTGCAATGGCTGCATAGTATTCCATGGTGTATATGTGCCACATTTTCTTAATCCATTCTATCGTTGTTGGACATTTGGGTTGGTTCCAAGTCTTTGCTATTGTGAATAGTGCCACAATAAACATACGTGTGCATGTGTCCTTATAGCAGCATTATTTATAATCCTTTGGGTATATACCCAGTAATGGGATGGCTGGGTCAAATGGTATTTCTAGTTCTAGATCCCTGAGGAATCGCCACACTGACTTCCACAATGGTTGAACTAGTTTACAGTCCCACCAACAGTGTAAAAGTGTTCCTATTTCTCCACATCCTCTCCAGCACCTGTTGTTTCCTGACTTTTTAATGATCGCCATTCTAACTGGTGTGAGATGGTCTCTCACTGTGGTTTTGATTTGCATTTCTCTGATGGCCAGTGATGACGAGCATTTTTTCGTGTGTCTTTTGGCTGCATAAATATCTTCTTTTGAGAAGTGTCTGTTCATATCCTTTGCCCACTTTTTAATGGGGTTGTTTGTTTTTTTCTTGTAAATTTGTTGGAGTTCATTCTAGATTCTGGATATTAGCCCTTTGTCAGATGAGTAGACTGCAAAAATTTTCTTCCATTCTGCAGGTTGCCTGTTTACTCTGATGGTAGTTTCTTTTGCTGTGCAGAAGCTCTTTAGTTTAATTAGATCCCATTTGTCAATTTTGTCTTTTGTTGCCATTGCTTTTGGTGTTTTAGACATGAAGTCCTTGCCCATGCCTATGTCCTGAATGGTATTGCCTAGGTTTTCTTCTAGGGTTTTTATGGTTTTAGGTCTAACATGTAAGTCTTTAATCCACTTTGAATTGATTTTTGTATAAGGTGTAAGGAAGGGATCCAGTTTCAGCTTTCTACATATGGCTAGCCAGTTTTCCCAGCACCATTTATTAAATAGGGAATCCTTTCCCCATTTCTTGTTTTTGTCAGGTTTGTCAAAGATCAGATGGTTGTAGATATGCGGCAGTATTTCTGAGGGCTCTGTTCTGTTCCATTGGTCTACATCTCTGTTTTGGTACAAGTACCATGCTGTTTTGGTTACTGGAGCCTTGTAGTATAGTTTGAAGTCAGGTAGCGTGATGCCTCCAGCTTTGTTCTTTTGGCTTAGGATTGACTTGGCAATGCCAGCCCTTTTTTGGTTCCATATGGACTTTAAAGTAGTTTTTTCCAATTCAGTGAAGAAAGTCATTGGTAGCTTGATGGGGATGGCATTGAATCTATAAATTACCTTGGGCAGTATGGCCATTTTCATAATATTGATTCTTCCTACCCATGAGCATGGAATGTTCTTCCATTTGTTTGTATCCTCTTTTATTTCATTGAGCAGTGGTTTGTAGTTCTCCTTGAAGAGGTCCTTCACATCCCTTGTAAATTGGATTCCTAGGTATTTTATTCTCTTTGAAGCAATTGTGAATGGGAGTTCACTCATGATTTGGCTCTCTGTTTGTCTGTTATTGGTGTATACGAATGCTTGTGATTTTTGCACATTGATTTTGTATCCTGAGACTTTGCTGAAGTTGCTTATCAGCTTAAGGAGATTTTGGGCTGAGACAATGGGGTTTTCTAGATATACAATCATGTCATCTGCAAACAGGGACAATTTGACTTCCTCTTTTCCTAATTGAATACCCTTTATTTCCTTCTCCTGCCTAATTGCCCTGGCCAGAACTTCCAACATTATGTTGAATAGGAGTGGTGAGAGAGGGCATCCCTGTCTTGTGCCAGTTTTCAAAGGGAATGTTTCCAGTGTTTGCCCATTCAGTATGATATTGGCTGTGGGTTTCTTATAGATAGCTCTTATTATTTTGAGATATGTCCCATCAATACCTAATTTATTGAGAGTTTTTAGCATGAAGCGTTGTTGAATTTTGTCAAAGGCCTTTTCTGCATCTATTGAGATAATCATATGGTTTTTGTCATTGGTTCTGTTTATATGCTGGATTATGTTTATTGATTTGCATATGTTGAACCAGCCTTGCATCCCAGGGATGAAGCCCACTTGATCATGGTGGATAAGCTTTTTGATGTGCTGCTGGATTCAGTTTGCCAGTATTTTATTGAGGATTTTTGCATCAATGTTCATCAGGGATATTGGTCTAAAATTCTCTCTTTTTTTGTTGTGTCTCTGCCTGGCTTTGGTATCAGGATGGTGCTGGCCTCATAAAATGAGTTAGGGAGGATTCCATCTTTTTCTATTGATTGGAATAGTTTCAGAAGGAATGATACCAGCTCCTCCTTGTACCTCTGGTAGAATTCGGCTGGGAATCCGTATGGTCCTGGAATTTTTTTTGGTTGGTAAGCTATTAACTATTGCCTCAATTTCAGAGCCTGTTATTGGTCTATTCAGAGATTCAACTTCTTCCTGGTTTAGTCTTGGGAGGGTTTATGTGTCGAGGAGTTTATCCATGTCTTCTAGATTTTCTAGTTTATTTGTGTAGAGGTGTTTATAGTATTCTCTGCTGGTAATTTGTATTTCTGTGGGATCGGTGGTGATATCCCCCTTATCATTTTTTATTGCTTCTATTTGATTCTTCTCTCTTTTCTTCTTTATTCATCTTGCTAGCGGTCTATCAATTTTGTTGATCTTTTCAAAAAACCAGCTCCTGGATTCATTGATTTTTTTTGAAGGGTTTTTTGTGTCTCTATTTCCTTCAGTTCTGCTCTGATCTTAGTTATTTCTTGCCTTCTGCTAGCTTTTGAATGTGTTTGCTCTTGCTTCTCTAGTTCTTCTAATTGTGATGTTAGGGTGTAAATTTTAGATCTTTCCTGCTTTCTCTTGTGGGCATTTAGTGCTATAAAATTCCCTCTACACACTGCTTCGAATGTGTCCCAGAGATTCTGGTATGTTGTGTCTTTGTTCTCATTGGTTTCAAAGAACATCTTTATTTCTGTCTTCATTTTGTTATGTACCCAGTAGTCATTCAGGAGCAGGTTGTTCAGTTTCCATGTAGTTGAGTGGTTTTGAGTGAGTTTCTTAATCCTGAGTTCTAGTTTGATTGCACTGTGGTCTGAGAGACAGTTTGTTATGATGTCCTTTCTTTTACATTTGCTGAGGAGTGCTTTACTTCCAACTTTGTGGTCAATTTTGGAATAAGTGCGGTGTGGTGCTGAGAAGAATGTATATTCTGTTGATTTGGGGTGGAGAGTTCTGTAGATGTCTATTAGGTCTGCTTGGTGCAGAGCTGAGTTCAATTCCTGGATATCCTTGTTAACTTTCTGTCTCGTTGATCTGTCTAATGTTGACAGTGGGGTGGTAAAGTCTCCCATTATTATTGTGTGGGAGTCTAAGTCTCTTTGTAGGTCTCTAAGGACTTGCTTTATGAATCTGGGTGCTCCTGTATTGACTGCATATATATTTAGGATAGTTAGCTCTTCTTGTTGAATTGATCCCTTTACCATTATGTAATGCCCTCCTTTGTCTCTTTTGATCTTTGTTGGTTTAAAGTCTGTTTTATCAGAGACTAGGATTGCAACCCCTGCCTTTTTTTGTTTTCCATTTGCTTGGTAGATCTTCTTCCATCCCTTTATTTTGAGCCTATGTGTGTCTCTGCACATGAGATGGGTTTCCTGAATACAGCACACTGATGGGTCTTGACTCTTTATCCAATTTGCCAGTCTGAGTCTTTTAATTGGAGCATTTAGCCCATTTACATTTAAGGTTAATATTGTTATGTGTGAATTTGATCCTGTCATTATGATGTTAGCTGATTATTTTGCTCATGAGTTGATGCAGTTTCTTCCTAGCGTCGATGGTCTTTACAATTTGGCATGTTTTTGCAGCGGCTGGTACCAGTTGTTCCTTTCCATGTTTAGTGCTTCCTTCAGGAGCTCTTGCAAGGCAGGCCTGATGGTGACAAAATCTCTCAGCATTTGCTTGTCTGTAAAGGATTTTATTTTTCCTTCACTTATAATGCTTAGTTTGGCTGGATATGAAATTCTGGGTTGAAATTTCTTTTCTTTAAGAATGTTGAATATCGGCCCCCACTCTCTTCTGGCTTGTAGAGTTTCTGCTGAGAGATCAGCTGTTAGTCTGATGGGCTTCCCTTTGTGGGTAACCCAACCTTTCTCTCTGGCTGCCCTTAACATTTTTTCCTTCATTTCAACTTTGGTGAATCTGACAATTATGTGTCTTGGAGTTGCTCTTCTCAAGGAGTATCTTTGTGGCATTCTCTGTATTTCCTGAATTTGAATGTTGGCCTGCCTTGCTAGATTGGGGAAGTTCTCCTGGATAATATACTGCAGAGTGTTTTCCAACTTGGTTCCATTCTCCCCATCACTTTCAGGTACACCAATCAGATGTAGATTTGGTCTTTTCACATAGTCCCATATTTCTTGGAGGCTTTGTTCGTTTCTTTTCATTCTTTTTTCTCTAAACTTCTCTTCTCACTTAATTTCATTCATTTGATCTTCCATCACTGATACCCTTTCTTCCAGTTGATCGAATTGGCTACTGAGGCTTGTGCATTCGTCACGTAGTTCTCGTGCCTTGGTTTTCAGCTCCATCAGGTCCTTTAAGGACTTCTCTGCATTGGTTATTCTAGTTAGCCATTCATCTAATTTTTTTTCAAGGTTTTTAACTTCTTTGCCATGGGTTCGAACTTCCTCCTTTAGCTCAGAGTAGTTTGATCATCTGAAGCCTTCTTCTCTCAACTTGTCAAAGTCATTCTCCATTAAGCTTTGTTCCATTGCTGGTGAGGAGCTGCATTCCTTTGGAGGAGGAGAGGCACTCTGATTTTTAGAGTTTCCAGTTTTACTGCTCTGTTTTTTCCCCATCTTTGTGGTTTTATCTACCTTTGGTCTTTGATGATGGTGACGTACAGATAGGGTTTTGGTGTGGATGTCCTTTCTGTTTGTTAGTTTTTCTTCTAACAGTCAGGACCCTCAGCTGCAGTTCTGTTGGAGTTTGCTGGAGGTCCACTCCAAACCCTGTTTGCCTGGGTATCAGCTGCGGAGGCTGCAGAACAGCGGATATTGGTGAACGGCAAATGTTGCTGCCTGATTGTTCCTCTGGAAGTTTTGTTTCAGAGGAGTACCCAGCCGTGTGAGGTGTCAGTCTGCCCCTACTGGGGGGTGCCTCCCAGTTAGGCTACTCGGGGGTCAGGGACCCACTTGAGGAGGCAGTCTGTCCGTTCTCAGATCTCCAGCTGCATGCTGGGAGAACCACTACTCTCTTCAAAGCTGTCGGACAGGGACATTTAAGTCTGCAGAGGATTCTGCTGCCTTTTGTTTGGCAGTACCCTCCCCCAGAGGTGGAGTCTACAGAGGCAGGCAGGCCTCCTTGAGCTGCAGTGGGCTCCACCCAGTTCGAGCTTCAGGGCTGCTTTGTTTACCTACTCAAGCCTCAGCAATGACAGGCACCTCTCCGCCAGCCTGGCTGCCACCTTGCAATTTGATCTCAGACTGCTGTGCTAGCAGTGAGCGAGGCTCCGTGGGTGTAGGACCCTCCAAGCCATGTGCGGGATATAATCTCCTGGTGTGCCGTTTGCTAAGACCGTTGGGAAAGCGCAGTATTAGGGTGGAAGTGACCTGATTTTCCAGGTGCCATCTGTCACCCCTTTCTTTGACTAGGAAAGGGAATTCCCTGACCCCTTGCACTTCCCGGGTGAGGCAATGCCTCACCGTGCTTCGGCTTATGCTTGGTGCGCTGCACCCACTGTCCTGCACCCACTTTCCGACACTCCCCAGTGAGATGAACCTGGTACCTCAGTTGGAAACGCAGAAATCACCCATCTTCTGCGTCGCTCACGCTGGGAGCTGTAGGCTGGAGCTGTTCCTATTTGACCATCTTGGCTCCACCCCTATTTAAATTATCTTAACAAATAAGACCTTCTGGAGTTCTTAAATAGATTTGTCAATCTAACAAATTAGTAAAAAAAGATGATGCTTTAAATTTTCTTAAATATTCGAATGCTATCTTCAAATTTAAAGTTTCAACTAAAATCATAAGGCTAAAACAATTATTTAATTATATATTTTAAAGAAATTTTTAAAAAACAGGCCAAATCTCTTAAATTTTACAAATACCTTAACCATCCAAAATACATAGATAGCAATACACTTATAATAAAACTACTACTGCTATGAGTGAGATCAAGAATCAGCAAACTATGGCCTATAAACTAAATCCAGTCTGCAACCTGTTTTTGTACAGACTGTGAAATAAGATTTTTTTTAAGTAATAATCTTCAATTTCTTTAGAGCTGTTTTAAGTTTAAAGAAAAATTGAGCAGAAAGTAGAATTCCCATATGCTTTCTCCCCCCATCCAGGTTTTCCTTATTATTAGCATCTTCCATTAGTGTGGTACACTTGTTATTAATACAATTGATGAGCCAATATTGATATATTATTATTAACTAAAGTCCACAATTTACATTAGGGTTCACTCTTTGTGTTGTACAATCTATGAGTTTTGTTTGTTTGTTTGCTTTTGTTTTTTATGGAGTCTTACTCTGTCACCCAGGCTGGATAGCAATGGCATGATCTCAGCTCACTGCAACCTCTGCCTCCTAGGTTCAAGCAATTCTCCTGCCTCAGCCTCCCAAATAGCTGGGATTACAGGCAGGCGCCACCACAGCCAGCTAATTTTTGTATTTTTAGTAGAGACAGGGTTTCGCTGTGTTGGCCAAGCTGGTCTTGAACCTCTGACCTCAGGTGATCCACCCGCCTCAGCCTCCCAAAGTGCTAGGATTACAGGCATGAGCCACCGCGCCCAGCCGATTCTATGGGTTTTGACAGATGTATAACTACATGTATCCACTTTACAATATCATACAGAATATGTTTTGCTGCCCTAGAACACCCCTGGGCTGCTTCCATTGATCCTTCCTTCCTTCTTCCACCCACCCAAACCCCTGACAACCGCTGATCTTTTTCATCTCCATAGTTTTGTCTTTTCTAGAATGTCATATAGTTGGACTTATGATTCATATCATACAGTATGAGTTTCAAATCAGCTTCTTTAACTTAGCAATACGCATTTAAAGTTCCTCTATGTCTTTTCATGGCTTGATAGCTCACGCCTTTTTAGTGCTGAATAATATTTCATTGTCTGGATGTACCACAGTTTATCCATCCATTCACCTATCTTAGCTGTTTGCAAGTTTTGGCAATCATGAATAAAGCTGCTATAGACATTCATACACAGGTTTTTGTATGAACATAAGTTTTCAGCCCATCTGGGCAAATACCAAGGAAGGAGATTGCTGAATCCTAAGAGTATATGTTTAGCCTTGTAAGAAACTGCCACCCTCTCTTCCAAAGGGGCTGTACCATTTTGCATTCTCATCATCAATGAATGAGAGTTCCTGTTGCTCCACATCCTCACCAGCATTTGGGGGTGTCAGTGCTTTGGATTTTCTGTAGGTGCCGAGGTGTTGTTGTTTTAATTTGCAATTCCCTAATGACATAGGATGTTGAGCATCTTTTCGTATGCTTACTTGCCCTCTGTATATCTGTATTGGTGAGGTGTCTGTTTAGAGCTTTTGTTCATTTTTGTAGTTGGTCTGTTTTCCCATTGTTGAATTTTAAGAGTTCTTTGTACGTTTTGGATAACAATTCTTTATCAGATATGTATTTTGCAAGTATTTTATCCCAGTGTGTGGTTTGTCTTTTCATTGTCTTAGGGATTTTTAAATTTTAAATGGTTGGGGAGAAAAATAAAAGCAGAATATCGTCATGTGAAAATTACATAAAATTATATTTTTAATGCCCATAAATAAAGCTGTATTGAAACACAGCCATGCTTATTCATTTATTATTGCTTCTGAACTACCATGGCAGAATTAAGTCATGGTGACACACTGTATGTGATGTTCTCACGGCTTTGCACTGTTGCCCAGAGCACTATAAATCACAGTGACATGTATATAACTTGACAGTTTTCCAACCATGTATCACCATACAGTGACATCTTACTATTTTATTTTTATGCATTTTTTTTGAGATGGAGTTTCGCTCTTATTGCCCAGGCTGGAGCACAATGGCACAATCTCGGCTCACTGCAACCTCTGTCTCCCAGGTTCAAGCGATTCTCCTGCCTCAGCCTCCCGAGTAGCTGTGATTACAGGCGCCTGCCACCACACCAGGCTAATTTTTTGTATTTTTAGTAGAGACAGGGTTTCACCCTGTTGCCCAGGCTAGTCGTGAACTCCTGACCTCTCAGGTGATCCACCCACCTTGGCCTCCCAAAGTGCTGGGATTACAGGCGTGAGCCACCACGCCCGGCCGTGACATCTTATTTTATTGTTTTATTACCAGTATGTCTTTGTTTCTGCTCCTTAGCCTCTTCTCTTCCTCTCTTCTCTTCTCAGTGCTCTCCCATCCTCCCTTCTGTCCTATCTCAGATCCATCTTTCAAGGCCTATACTAAGTTCTTATTCCACCAGGAAGTCTCTGGATTATTCCTTGGCTATCATCATCATCATCATCATCATCAATCAACTATTTTTATTATTTATATGTATGATATTATATGTTAATCATATATGCAAAATGTGTGTGTGTGTGTGTGTGTGTGTGTGAAATGTATACATGCCAGGCACTGTTCTAAATATTTTATATGAGTTGTCTAACTTAACCCTGGCTGGGGAAGACTATTGTTTCTCCCCATTTTATCAAGGAGGAAACTAAGGAACAGGGGAGTTCAGGGTCTCCCTAAGGTCACACAGCAAGTGTTGAAGCCACAGTTCAAACCCAAGATGTCTGGCTCTGACGTCTACCCATTTCCACTAGGCTCGTCTACCTCTCGGTTTGCTGAATATTGCAGTTTCACCCTCGATGATACTCTGGTTTCTCCAGCACATCACAGAAATAAATCTTGTCCACAACTGGACTCTGAGCTCTGGGAGGGAGTGTTCAGGATGTGGCAACAGGACAGGGATTCAGGGGCTGAGAAGGCCTGGGCTCCACTCCCACCGTGCCGCCTTGGGGCCCTTCCCCTCTCTGTTTCAGCTTCACCAGCAGTAAAGCGTAGGGTGGGCTGACAGTGGCCTGCTGAAATGTGTAGCTTGAAATCCACCAATGTGGGAGTATTTGTACTACAGACATCGACAAATTCTACAGGAAGGACCCTAATCTGTAGAATTTGCCGATATCTGTGGTACAAATGCTCCCACTTTGTATTTGCAGTACAAATACTAACCCCCTCTGATATGGTTTGGCTCTGTGTCCCCACCCAAATCTCATCTTGCATTGTAATCCCCACATGTTGAGGGAGGAATCTGGTGGGAGGTAATTGGATCATGGGGGCAGCTTCCCCCATGCTGTTCTCATGATAGTGAGAGAGTTCTCATGAGATCTGATGGTTTTAAAAGTGGCAGTTTCCCCTGCACTCTTTCTGTCTCCTGCTGCCTTGTGAAGAAGGTGCTGGCTTCTCCTTCACCTTCTGCCACGACTGTAAGTTTCCTGAGGCCTCCCCAGCCATGTGGAACTGTAAGTCAATTAAACCTCTTTCCTTTATAAATTACCCAGTCTTGGGTAGCTCTTTACGGTGGTGTGAAAGTGACTAAAACACCCTCTGAGAGCCAGTTTACCAGCGCAACACTGTATAACCAGGAGAAACGACCAGCTAGAGTCCTAAAGCTCCAACCGGGTTTGGAAAAACTGGCTGCATCAACTCCTGTAACTTCAGAGTCCTAAAGGGCACGTGAGAGCATGTAGTCCATTTCCGTACTTCACATACGGAGGAGTGGCAACTGGAGTGGGAAGACAGCCAGGCACAAAGCTGCAACCAGCCCCTAAGCCTCCCGTCTCCTGCCTCAGGGTTCTGTTCTCTGCATTTCTGTTCTCTGCAGCAGTGAGTGACAATGGAGGCCCAGAGTGGGGCAAAGTCCCGCTCCAGTCCCCAAAAATGCAAAGCCTGCTGCTAAGCTTGAGAGATATGAATGACCCTTACCCACGAGTTAACCCAATATCCCAAGCCCAGAAGTCTAGCGGTCTGGCCCAGGGGGCATTCTTGTTTTCCATGGTGAAAGCTCCTGAATCTGCTCTTCTTCCATGCTCCCTCAAGGGACCTCACCTTGGCCAGATGATCAGCCAGCTTGTCCCTGGCATCCTTTGTATCCTTCAGCCCATTCTTGAATGCCGTGTCCACCACATCACACTGCTTGCGCAGATCATTGGCTGTCTGGGACAGGATTCGATCCACCAGGGCTTTCAGCATCAGGGAGTTGTTCCGCTGCTTGTCAGCCTTCTCCACATTGGTGCTGGAGAAGTCCAACCAGTCTTCCAGACTCACGGAGCTGAAACAGACCTCACGCTTTCATTCACAGCATATTTGGGGTGGGGAAGGGGGTTGGGAGAGAGGGACGAGCTACACCTTCCCCTCATAAGAACCACCTAGAATGTTACCCTATCTCTAGGCAGAGCAAATAGTGGTCTGTCAGTATCAATAGCTGTCACTTTGGGCAACCTCCCTACTCTGGCATTGGGCTGGCACCTTATAGACATTATCTCATTTAATCCTCATGATGGCCAAGTGAGCTAACTTTTCTAATCCCCATTTTACAGATGAGGGAAACTGAGCTCAGAAAAATGAAGTAACTTGGGTGAGATTGCTCAGCTAGAGATAATTTGAGCATCAAAATAATACTAATGTAATAGATTACACTGAATAAAATAGAAACCATCCATCTATACAGATTTAAATAAAAAAGTGAATAAATTACTCGTTTGAAGAGGAACTATCTTCTGGAACGACACTGATGAACTTCAAAATAATGTTAATTGGAAGAAACCAGACACACACACACACACACACACACACACACACACACACACATATCTAGTATATAATGCTGTTTAATGAAAAGCAGGCAAAACCAACCTA
Organism: Homo sapiens; assembly: GCF_000001405.40. Taxonomy (NCBI): domain Eukaryota; kingdom Metazoa; phylum Chordata; class Mammalia; order Primates; family Hominidae; genus Homo; species Homo sapiens. The sequence continues at coordinate 6,813,641 of NC_000017.11, forward strand.
TTACAAGTCAGGAAAGTTATTACCTTCAGGATGGAGGGAGGGACTATTGATTGGAAGAGGACAGGATGATAGGGATGGTGATAATGTTTTCTTTCTTGACCTGGTGGTGATATGAGGCTTTGTTCAGTTTGTGATTAGAAGCAGCCTCTGAGATGGCACTTAGTGATCCCCCCTCCTGGTATTCATGCCTTTGTGTAATCCCCTCGCCTTGAGTATGGGATGAATTTATTGACTTCCTTCTCACAAATAGAAGGATGTCACTTCTGGGATTAGGATATAAAAAAGACTGTGGCTTCTGTCATCCGTTCTCTCTCTCTCTCTCTCTCTCTCTCTCTCTCGGATCACTCATTATGGGAGAAACCAGTTGCCATGTCATGGGACATCCCCATGGTGAAATTCACAAGGCAAGGAACCAAGGCCCACCATCACCCACAATCAGCTTGGAATTGGACCCCACCCGGGTCAAGCCTTCAGATGGATTGCAACCCCAGCAGCTGGCTTGACTACAGCCTCAGAAGACATCAAGCCTGGGGCACCCAGTTGAACAGGGCCTGGTTTCCCCACCCAAGGAACCATGAGATAATACATGTTTATTGTCTTAAGCTGCAAAGTTTTGGGATAATTTAGTATACAGCAAAAGATAACTAACACAATGAGAATGCTTCAAACTTGTGCACTTTTCTATATGTATGTTTTATTTCAAAAAGAAGGTTTTAAAAATTAAAGTGAGTTAGGCTGTGATATAATGTTAACCGAAAAATGCAAATTAGATGTCACAGAAAAGGTACATAGTATAATCTCATTTTTATAAACTAAACAAAGTTTACCGTATGTGTGTGAGTGCACATGTACATATGTTTGTATGAACATGCAGCTAACACCAGTTATCTCAGTGGATGTAAAAACAGAAAGGGGAGGCCAGGGGCGGTGGCTCACGCCTGTAATCCCAGCACTTTGGGAGGCCGAGGCGGGCAGATCACGAGGTCAGGAGATTGAGACCATCCTGGCTAACTTGGTGAAACCCCATCTCTACTAAAAATACAAAAAATTAGCCAGGCATGGTGGCGGGCGCCTGTAGTCCCAGCTACTTGGGAGGCTGAGACAGGAGAATGGCGTGAACCCGGGAGACGGAGCTTGCAGTGAGGTGAGATCGCGCCACTGCACTCCAGCCTAAGTGACAGAGCAAGACTCTGTCTCAAAAAAAAAAGGGGGGGGGAAATTCACTTGCTCTTCCTACATTTTTAGATTATTTTACTTGTTAAAAACATGTATAGATGAAGGAATAAAATGTTTTATTCTTTAAAGGTTTAAAGGTTTTATGTCAGACTTTCTTAGTTAGTGAGCCTAACCTGGAGAATCAGGAGCCTCTGGGCCCAATGTCAAGGTCACCATTCAATGCTGCCTTTGCCCCAAGCCCACCACTTCCAAGCTCTCAGCCAGCTGCAAGGACGAGCCGCTAGGTCTTGCCTATCTGAGAAGCACTGGGTCACCCGCGAGGAGGAAGACGGCAAGGCCCACTCACTTTGGCTCAATCCTCACGGCGTTCTCAGAATATCTGATGTTTGGTGAGTTGTTGTTGAGCGAGAAGCAGATATCATCTATGGTCAGGGCCACAAACTTGTCCTTCAAATCCTTCTCAAGATTGTACTTGGCAGAGCGGTTCATCCTGAAGGGAGAAAGTAAACTGGGTTTCTGCCTCTGGAGTGCCCAGGTGGCACCCACGTCCTCAGAGAGGTCCTGGAAAGTGAAGCTGCAGCTAGGTCTGGTGCAGGATGATGGTACTGCCCCCCACCCATCACCCCAACACTCATGCGTATACCATTTGATGCCCGGTGACAAATCAACGTAACCAAATGTGGACTTGGAGATTCTCCCTTCTACTGTTACATTTTCCAGTGTCACCATTGCAGCCTACTATGTGTGAGGGGTCAGCCTCACCAGTGGGTTCCAGCGTCCTCCAGTTTATAACCAGGGTGAAATCCAGCTCCAGCCCCACCCTTACCAGAGGGCGGCTGCCATGTATGAGGGATGTGGCCAGCTCTTACCCTGAGTGCTGGGGCAATCTGGGGACACAAAGTGGGAGCGGGAATGTTGAACCCCTTTCTTTCTGTGCCATGGAGCCCAGCTTTTGTGGACACTGCCTTTTCTCAAAATTCCCAGTGGAGATTTGGAGGGCAGGCCGAAGAGTCATACCGAATCTGCTCGGAAGCCTCCTCCAAGGTACGGGTCAGCAGAGCCATAATGCCCTGGATGATCTCAGCCTCCTTTATCAGCTCATGCTCCACTGTGTCGTGCACCAGGTCAATGCCAATGCGCTTCTCCCTGGCAGGGGGAAAGGCAGCCAGTCAGCCAACACGTGCAACATGAGGTGACTCAACATTGGCTAATGGCTGCACACTCAGAACTATCTGCACGACTGATTTGAGTGTCACCCGATCCATCCGATGACACAGTGGGTGACAGATATTAGTTGGTGTCTATGTGACTTCAAAATATCCAAACACAATGAAGAAAAATTGATTGATGACTGGTCACTTGGTCTGAAACATGCCAAATGGACTTTTTTTTCTCTCTCTCTTTTTCTTTTCTTTGTATTTTTTTTAAATTATACTTTAAGTTCTAGGGTACATGTGCACAACGTGCAGGTTTGATACATAGGTATACATGTGCCACATTGGTTTGCTGCACCCATCAACTCATCATTTATATTATGTATTTCTCCTAATGCTATCCCTCCCCCAGCCCCCCACACCCTGACAGGCCCCGGTGTGTGATGTTCCCTGCCCTTTGTCTAAGTGTTCTCATTGTTCAATTCCCACCTATGAGTGAGAACATGCAGTGTTTGGTTTTCTGTCCTTGTGATAGTTTGCGCAGAATGATGGTCTCCAGCTGCATCCATGTCCCTGCAAAGGACATGAACTCTTCCTTTTTTATGGCTGCATAGTATTCCATGGTGTATATGTGCCACATTTTCTTAATCTAGTCTATTACTGATGGACATTTGGGTTGGTTCCAAGTCTTTGCTATTGTGAATAGTGCCACAATAAACAAACGTGTGCATATGTCTTTATAGTAGCATGATTTATAATCCTTTGGGTATATACCCAGTAATGGGATTGCTGGGTCAAATGGTAATTCTAGTTCTAGATCCTTGAGGAATCACCACACTGTCTTCCACAATGGTTGCACTAATTTACCCTCCCACCAACAGTGTAAAAGCATTCCTATTTCTCCACATCCTCTCCAGCATCTGTTGTTTCCTGACTTTTTAATGGTTGCCATTCTAACTAGCATGAGATGGTATCTCATTGTGGTTTTGATTTGCAGCCAGATGGACTTTTTTTCCCAAGAAGAGGAAAGTTTTAAATAATAATAATAAATTCAAAGACTTGTTTCCTTCCTTGATCCTCATTCAGTGTTTAGACAAACAATTGAACATAGAAAGATGTTTTAGGGTGGGCGCAGTGACTCACGCCTGTAATCCCAGCATTTTGGGAGGCTGAGGCAGGTGGATCGCCTGAGGTCGGGAGTTGGAGACCAGCCTGGCCAACATGGAGAAACCCCGTCTCTACTAAAAACACAAAATTAGCCAAGAGTGGTGGTGCATGCCTGTAATCCTAGCTACTCAGGAGGCTGAGGCAGGAGAATCATTTGAACCCGGGAGGTGGAGGTTTCGGTGGGCCGAGATTGCACCATTCCACTCCAGCCTGGGCAACAAGAGCGAAACTCCATCTCAAAAAAAATTTTAAAAGATGTTTATAGTAATAATAACTATTAATAATAATAACACCAATAGTAATATTGCCTCTGCCAGTGAGCACTTACTCCATGACAGGCATTGTGCTGAGCTTTATTAATATATAAACATTCTTTCTTAGCCCTTTCAAGTACAGATGGGGAAACTGAGTTTCAGAGAGACTAAGTGATCTACCCAGTGTCACAGAACTGTGTGCCACATGTGCTTCTAGCCAAGATGCCATCCTCCTCCCAAACTGACCCTGCTACACAACGTTTTGCTCTTTTTCAACCTGCATGATAGTGCTTGGAAAGGAGGTTCCCCTACTCACTAGCTGGGTGCCCTTAGCCACTATATAACCTACCTGTGCCTTGGTTTCCTTTTCTGTAAAATGGGGGTAATTATTAGTACTTCATAGGATTGTGGCACACTACAAATGAGCTATAAAAGCATAAGCTACAGTACCTGGCACATAGTACATGCTCAGTAAACTTAGCAGCCTCTACGTTATCATTATCCTCAGGCTTAGACTTGAGCCAACTGGGTGTTGAGCTCTTTGATGAGCTGCTATTTCTCTTTGCTTCATAGATTTCTAAATCTGGCTGGGGAGACTGCTGCCTGGTTCCTGCAACGGGTCCTGTTTAAGCTTATGGAAGGAACAGGGCTTTCCAGGAAGACAGGGGCATGGTGCATTTGAGAAACTGCAAGTAGCTCCACACACCTAAGCACATCCCACTACTGGGGACAAGATATGGATCCAGAGAGGTCACTGGGGGCCCTATCATGATGAACCTTGGTTTGCTAAGCTAAGAAGCTTAAAATTTATCTTGAAGCCATTGGGGTTTGAAGGATTCTAAGCATGGCGGTGACCGGGAAAAATCTGCATTTGGAAAAGTTCACTCAACAGCCAGTGTGCAGGGTGCACTAGATTATAGGGGACTATGCTAACAGCAAGAAGACCTGTTAGGGCACTCCAGCTAGGTCTGCGGCAGAACCCAGGTCTGGAAACCAGCATCACCCCAGAGTAGAAAGGATCATTCTATTCACTGGATTTATAGGAGGGAAATAATAATAAAAAGCACTATGTTCCTATAGTGCTGTCTGGATTACAAAGTGCTTCCGTGTGGCTCTGCATGGGAGAGACATACTGTCCCCTGGGAGCTGTAGTGTCTGTTCTCACCTTCTTCCTTGGCAACAGAACCCCTGGTTTTTTGGCTGAGCACCTGGCTGCCCAAAGTAAAACCAATCATTTCCCAGCATCTGTTGGTGTGGCCATGTGATTAAGTTCTGTCAATAGGATGCAAATAGAAATGATGAATGCCAGACCCCACTTACTCCTACTTGCTGGAATGTAGACATAATGGCTGGAGCTCCAGCTGCCAACTTAAACCACAAGGTAACATTAGGAGTGAAAGCCATGTGCAGTAGAACAAGAAGATAGAAAAAGCCTGGAACCCTAAAACTGTGGCCCACCATTCCAACCCTGGACTGACTATCTCTAGACTCTTTGAATGTAAGAGAGAAAGAAATCGTTTTCTTTAAATTCAATATTATTTTAAAGTTTTCTGCTACCCACAGCCAAACCTAGTCCTAACATATTTGAGTTGAGTTAGTCAAGAGCAGAGTTGAGGCATGAACCAAGTCCAGTGCCCCTTGCACTGCCCAGCACCAGGGGCATGCTGGGATAACTTCAGGCTCTAAAAGAACACCTGCTCAAGTGCTGTGTTCTAACTCACCATCGCACACAGCCGGCATTTACTACCCAGCATCTCATTTGTCACAACACATGAATCATTTGAGGGACCTTCGCTCCTACCTGTATGCCAGGCATGTCTCAGTGATGTGCAAGGGCTCTTTCAAGGTCTCCAGGGCTTTTTCCAATCTGATCTTATATATGAGTAGATCATCAGTTACATTCACAAGCTGCTCAAGTTTGTCATCTAACTCCTTCTTCCAGAACTGGACTTCCTCGAGTCTCTGTTCTGAAGCACACGGGGAAGTTACACCAGGGCTAATCTATCCCAAGGTAGCCAACATTTGAATTAGAAACTTGAAGACTGTTGTAAAACCACCTGTGACATGCTCTTTTCCTCTTAGTGCTGTGCTATTTGGGGCATCTTTTCATCTTTTTAAATGTTTATTTGCAGGAAGGAAGGAAGATATATTTTCTTACAGTCCACATCAGATTTATCATTCTACACCCACTAGTTCTTCAGTGCCCACTGTTTTTAATAACTTTTAATTTTATCAAAGATATAAATGTGTGTTGTTAGAAAAGTCAAATAGTATCACAAAGAATTAAAACTCTCTGACCTGTCCCCATCCATTTGAGACGGAGTCTCACTGTGTCACCCAGGCTGGAGTGCAGTGGTGCAATCTCTGCTCACTGCAAGCTCTGCCTCCCAGGTTCATGCCATTCTCCTGTCTCAACCTCCCGAGTAGCTGTGACTACAGGCATCCGCCACCACACCCGGCTAATTTTTTGTATTTTTTAGTAGAGACTGGGTTTCACCATGTTAGCCAGGATGGTCTCGATCTCCTGACCTCGTGATCCGCCTGCCTCGGCCTCCCAAAGTGCTGGGATTACAGGTGTCAGCCACTGCGCCAGGCCCCTTATCACTTCTGACATTTGCTTATACTGCTATTCACTCATTATCAGTTTTGATATTATATGTTGATTTCCTGTGATGAAAGATAATGATTTGCTCTTAACCAACTCACACAACATACTTCCGTCTCCCAATATAGTTGTATCACCATTTTGTTAAACAATAAATAAGTAAACTTACTATTTATTTACATTTTGTAAATATATAAATGTTATTTACACCTGAGCCCTATCATACACTGTAATAAATTTCTTTTCTTACAAAATTTTCTGTTTTGGGGAGGAGTTAAAATGGCATTTTTGCTTCACTTTCTTTTTTAAATGATAATTAAAGGCAGATTTATTAGTCACCATGAGTAAAAAATGACTGATTATACTAGGAAAACAATTAAATATATATATATTTAATTGATAATGAGTAGTTCAGCATTTGAATCTTAAAGTCATAATGTACTGGTTGTAGTGTCAGTTTCCACTTCTGTAAGCTGACTCTGTTTTAAAAAAAAATGTTATTGTATATATTTGAGGTTTACAACATGACATTATGAGATAGTAAAATGGGTAGCATAGTGATTCCTTCAGTTTCTTTATATTATTAATTTTTTCTCAATATGCCCTCAATATATTCCAACCCATCAAGTAAGCTATCAATTTTCTTTCCTCCTTGGAGATGTCTCTCCTAGAGCATCTTCTCCTCCTGCTGGATGAGTTGCTCTCTAGTTTGCTGTGTAGCTGTCATCCTATGACTTTGCTTCCAGGAATCCCCTTCACTCTTCTCCTGTTGCTGTCCCGTTTCCTGGATTGTATTTCTTCCTCTTCCTTGATTTACTCTTTCAGTATGCTGAAGCATATCCTTCAGTAACTTCCTAAGAAATGGATGCATGTGAGGTAAAGTTTTTGAAAACCTGCAAGTCTGCAAATGTCTTTATTCTACCCTCGACATTTCATTCTATTTGGCTGTGCCCTGAGTTACAGTTTGTAACTCTTTTTTATTTGGAATTGTGATTGTGTCCCTCCATTTCCTTCTAATTTCCAGAGTTTCTGTTGAAAAGTCTGATGCCACTCTGATTCCTGATTCTTTGTATATGACCTGTTTTTTCCACTCTGAAAAATTTTAGTAATCTATTTTCCTAGGGTCCTGAAATTTCACACTGGTGTCAAACTTATTTAATTGTTGTGTCACATGCCAGATATACCCTTTGATATGGTTTGGCTCTGTGTCCCCACCCAAATCTCATCTCCAGCTGTTATCCTCACCTGTTGAGGGAAGGACTTGGTGGGAGATAATTGGATCATTGAGGCAGTTTCCCCCATGCTGCTCTCCTGATAGTGAGTGAGCTCTCTTGAGATCTGATAGTTTTATAAGGGTCTCTTCCCCCTTCATTTTCTCTTCTCTCTCCTGCCACCATGTGAAGAAGGTCCTTGTTTTCTCTTAGCCTTCCACCATGATTATAAGTTTCCTGAGGTCTCCCTAGCCATGTGGAACTGTGGGTCGATTAAACCTCTTTCCTTTATAAATTATCCAGTCTCAGGTATTTCTTTATAGCAGTGTGAAAATTGACTGATACAGAGAATTAGTACTGGAAGTGAGGCACTGCTATAAAGATAACCTGGAAATGTGGTAGTGACTTTGGAGCTGGGTTAACAGGCAGAGGTTGGGACAGTGTGGAGGGCTCAGAAGAAGACAGAAAGTTTTGGGAAAGTTTGGAACTTCCTAGAGACTTGTTGAATGGTTTCGATCAAAATGTTGACAGTGATATGGACAATGAAGTCCTGCTGAGGTAGTCTCAGATGGAGATAAGGAACTTATTGGGAACTGAAGCAAAGTTCACTCTTCTTATGCTTTAGCAAAGAGACTGGCAGCATTTTGCCCCTGCCCTAGAGATCTGTGGAACTTTGAATTTGAGAGAGATTATCTGAAATTGGAACTTATGTTTAAAAGGGATGCTCTGCTTCCCCCATTTTGGGGGAAGGAATTCAAGCCAGCTACAGAAATTTGCATAAGTAACAAGAAGCCGAATGCTAATTGCCAAGACAATGGGGAAAATGTCTCCAGGGCATGTCAGAGATCTTCACAGCAGCCCCTCTCATCACAGACCAAGAGGCCTAGGAGAAAAAAATGCTTCCTGGGCCAGGCCTAGGGCCCTGCTTCCTCATCTTCTTCTTTTTAGAGACAGGATCTCACTCTGTCACCCAGGCTGGAGTGCAGTGGCACAACCATAGCTCACTGTAACTTTGAACTCCTGGGCTCAGGAGATCCTCCCACCTCAGCCTCCTGGGTAGCTGAGACTACAGGTACACACCACCACACCCACCTAATTTTCTTATTTTTGTAGAGGCAAGGGTCTCTCTGTGTTGCCAAGGCTGGTCTCAAACTCCTGGTCTCAACTGATCTTCCTATTTTGGCTTCCCAAAGTGCTGGGATTCCAGGTGTGAGCCACCATAACTTCTCCATTTTCTCTATGCTCTTTCTGAAACTCCTATTAGTTATTGAGCCTCCCAGACTGATCCTCTAATTTTCTTGTCTTTTCTTTGCTGTTATTTTGTTGTCCTTTTTTCCCACTTTCTGGATATTCTCAACACTTCTTTTGATTTTTAAGATTTTTCTGCTCTTATATTCTTAATTTCTAAGAACGCTTGTTCTCCAAATGTTCTCTTTTTTAAAGACTCCTCTGCATGTTCCAAGGATGCAATCTCTTCTCTAAATTCTTGATGGATTTGATAGTGTATGTCTTCTTTTTCTCTATGCACTATCTGTCTCCTGAGTTTCTGTGTCTTTGATTATTTGTTTTGGTGTCTGCCATGTTATTGGCTTTCCTCAATTATTTGGTGATCATCTGATTTAGACTGAGATGCTAAAGTGCTACCTGGAAATGCTGTCTAGAGGGACAGTGCTTGTCAACCAGAATGCTTTATCATACAGAGTGATCAGTTGAGACCCTGGCATCTCACAGGAGAATCCTCAAATGTTAATATTTATGGATCTTTCCTTTCGGGGCCAGTTACTTTCTACTTTCTCCACAGAAAAGTCCTCCAGTCTCCTGTCTGAGGGTAGAAGCCTGGCTACCAGTGTCTTAGGAAACAGCTGGAAGAATTACTATGTAGACATAGAAATGAATGAATCACCAAGTAGACATTCATTGAACCTTTTAACCTTTAACCTTCTGCTGGGGTGAGGGAGAGCCAGAGTGAAGAGGAAGCTCTTTATAAAGACTTTCAACCAATCTTGTTTCTGGTTCTATCCTGACCCTCCAGCTTCAGAAGTAACTGGATGCATCCAGTTTTGAGCATTACAAGATTTCTGCAGCATGAATCAGCTGGCTTCTTATTGTTCTCTACCCAGCCTGATTTTCTGCAGTCCCTAGGTTTGTTACCAGCTGACCTTTGCTTTCTAAAATCTTGATTTCATTATTTGTCTACTGTTGCTTCCTCTCTAACTCTCTGTGTGTGTGTATGTGTGCACACGCATGTGCTTGCCTGTGTATGCATCTCAATCTCTCTCATGCTTGGGGCATAGCTTTATTATTATTTTGTTAGCTTTACTGTTATTAATTCTTTACTGCTATTTTGTTGGAATTCTAAAAGGAAGAGAAGACAAATGCATGTGCTTAATCCACCATGTAGATGGGCATCTTCCCATTGACACCTTGTAACTGATTTTCACCTCTACTGTGTACCCTCCACTATCCTACTGGACATCTCTTATCTCAAAGGTCACCAATAATCTTTAAGTCACTAGTCCAAATTTATTTTGGCTCAGCTCTCAGTCTCTTAGACATTTAGACAACCACTGATACAATAGAAGACTTCCTCGCCTGTGAAACCTCATCCTTTTTTTTTTTTTTTTTTTTTTTTTGAGACAGAGTCTCACTCTTTCACCCAGGCCGGACTGCAGTGGCGCTATCTCGGCTCACTGCAAGCTCCGCCTCCCAGGTTCACACCATTCTCCTGCCTCAGCCTCCCAAGTAGCTGGGACTACAGGTGCCCACCACCATGCCTGGCTAATTTTTTGTATTTTTAGTAGAGACGAGGTCTCACCGTGTTAGCCAGGATGGTCTTGATCTCCTGATCTCGTGATCTGCCCACATCGGCCTCCCAAAGTGCTGGGATTACAGGCGTGAGCCACTGCGCCCAGCCAAAACCTCATCTTTTGGCTTTCATAACCTTGGTCTCATCTGTTTATTCTTCCACCTGAACTTATGTTCCTCAGCTCTTCTCTTGGTCCTCTTCAACTCATGTGCCCTTTTCTTCTCTTTTGATACATTCTTTGGGTAGTCTAATCTACCCTTATGGCTCCCCTTACCCATCTTTATGTGATTTCTGGCGTTACTTCTTAAATTCTAACAGGCTACCCAATGAACTGAACATTCCAAAATCAAGGTCTTCCTCAGGCTTGGCCCTGCTTCATCTCCCTCTCATCTTCATCATGCTGCTCTTCCTCACGTACTCTACACATTAACTTGGACCTCTCTACTCATTCCCCATAAATGTCCCACTCATCCTGCCTTTATTATTTTGTCCAAGCTATCTCCTTGACTTTTGTTGTTAAAATTCATTCATAAATCCAACATACATATTATCGAGCACCTTTTCTCTCCATCTTTACTGCCATTGCCTTCATCTAGGCCAGCAACTTACAATAATTTTAGTTACTTGCCTTTTTACTTGTGTTGTGTCTCTTTTACATAGTAGAATGTATCAGTCTTTTTCAATTTTATACTCCTAAGCATCTAGCACAGGGTCAGACCTATTTGAAGAGTGAATGAATTAATGAATGAACGAGCTCTGATCCCATTAACCAGGATAGGGAACTACAGAAGCAGAAGCAAGTTTTGAAGGACAATGATGAGTTCATCTTGGGACATACTTATTTTGAGGTGCCTGAAGGAATCTAGGTGGCAATATATAGCAAGTAGTTCTCTATTTTCCCAAAGAGTTCTCATGAGAAATTAGAGCTGAAGATTTCTATTTGCAAACCAATAACACAAAGAAAATAGTGATAAAATTTCTAATGAGGTCATCAAGAAAGATTGCTTAGAGAGAAGAGAAGAAAAAGCTAAGAAGATGAAGAACAAAACGCTAAAGAACACCAATAGGAAATGAATGGGGAAAGAAGCATCCATAATAGAGAAGAGGAAGAAATGGCCAGAGAGAAAGGAAATTTTAATCAGGAAAAATTTGTGCCATAGAATTCTAAAAGTAACTGGACACATCCAGTTTTGAGCATCCAGTATTGTAGAGAGATCAAGTTGGATGAAGACTAAGTGATCATTAGATTGGAAAATTGAGTAGTCATTGGATGTGACCAATTGGAAGTGATGTGCCCTCTCCTCCAATCTGACGGTGCTTTATTGGTGCCTCTTATGGGATGAAGCACACCGTATCCTGGGTATCCTGTACTGGACTCATCTCTACTTTCAGACTGCAAGCTCCCCAAGGGCAAACACCAGTCTGGTGTGTCTATATCATCAGCACCAGCACAGGTACTTGCAAGTTATTTTTAACTTTTTATTGAAATATCAAAAACCTATAGAAGAGTACACATATCATAAAATTCAATGTATTTTCATAGTGAACACACACATATAAGACCCAGCTCAAGAAACAGAATATAACTGGCATCCCAGGAGGTCTCTCATGACCCCTTCCAGTTCTATCATTCCACACACCAAGGTATAGATTCATTTTTCATTTTATTTGGTTTGTTTTACTTTACATAAATAGAATAATATGGCATGTACTCATCTGTGTGTCATTTATTGTACTCAGCATCTTACTAAGTTTGTAAGATTCATCAGTAGTGTTGTATATAGCTGTAGGCCACTCATTCTCTTTGCTGTGAGGTATAGCATATTTATCCATCCTACTGTTGATAAGCATGTGGGTAGTTTCCAGTTGGGGCCATTACAAATGGCCCTCCTTTGGCCATTGCAGCATATATCTTTGGTAAACATATATTCCCGTATGATAAAACTCTAAAGGTAGAATAACCAGGTGAAAAGTATGCATGTCTTCAACTGTAGTCAATACTGCCAAAGCTTTCCAAAGTGATTACAGCAATTTGTATTTCCACCAGCAGAATATGACAGTAACAGTTGCTCCACATCCTCTTTCCTCTCCTTTCTTCTTGTTCTCTTCCTTCTTTTTAATTGTAGCCATTCCATGGCTGTATAATGGCATCTCAACTTGATTTTAATTTGTATGTCCCTGATGACTCATAAAATTAGAGCACCTCTTTACATGTTCGTCGGCTGTTTGAATGTCCTCGCTTGTAAGGTGTCTGTCAAGATTTGTCCATTTGTTTATTGAGTTATCTGCCTTTTTCTTTTGTATTCTTAAAAGTTATTTATATATTTTGGATATGGATTTGTCAGATATATATATTGCAAATATCTTTTCCTACTCTTTAGATTGCTGTTCAGCCTTTTGATGAGGTATTTTTGTTAAACAAAAGTTCTTCATTTTAATATAGTCTAATTTATTGTTTTTCTTTTCTATGAATGCTTCTTTTCAGGCCTGCTTAAGAATAAGAAATCTTTGCCTTCGACAAGTCATAAAGATCATAAATATATTCTCCCATAAGTGTCATTGTTTCACCTTTCCCATTTAGATATGCACTCCACTTAGATTTGCAGATAGATAGATAGATAGATAGATAGATAGATAGATAGATAGATAGATAGATAATACGAGGTAGGGGTTGGGATTATTATTATTTTTTTTTTTTTTGCGACGGAGTCTTGCTCTGTCACCCAGGCTGGAGTGCAGTGGCACTATCTCACGTCACTGCAAGTTCCGCCTCCTGAGTTCACGCCATTCTCCTGCCTCAGCCTCCCGAGTAGCTGGGACTACAGGCACCCGCCACCACGCCCAGCTAATTTTTAGTGTTTTTAGTAGAGATGGAGTTTCACCATGCTAGCCAGGATGGTCTCGCTGTCCTGACCTCGTGATCTGCCCGCCTTGGCCTCCCAAAGTGCTGTGATTACAGGTGTAAGCCACGGCGCCTGGCCAAGATATCATTTTTTATATGAATATCTAATTGGGCAATTCATTGAAAAGGCTTTCTTTTGCCCATTACACTGTAGTGTTGCTTTGTCATACTCAGATGAATGAATGTATGTGGGTTTGTTTCTGGACTCTGCCATGTTTCATTGGTCAACAGGTCTATCCTCACTTATACTTTGCTGTCTCAATTACCATAGCTTTGTCACAGCTCTCAGTACCTACGGTAGAAGTCTTCCAACTGTGTTCTTCTTTAAGATAGTTGTGCCAATTTTTTTTTTTTTTTTTTTTTGAGATGGAGTCTCGCTCTTGTCGCCCGGGCTGGAGTGCAGTGGCGTGATCTCGGCTCACTGCAACCTCCGCCTCCCGGGTTCAAGCGATTCTCCTACCTCAGCCTCCTGAGTAGCTGGGATTACAGGCACCCACCACCATGCCCAGCTAATTTTTTTGTACTTTTAGTAGAGACAGGGTTTCACCATGTTGGCCAGGCTGGTCTTGAACTCCTGACCTCAGGTGATCCACCCACCTCGGCCTCCCAAAGTGCTGGGAGCCAGGCATGAGCCACCACACTCAGCCTCGTGCCTATTCTTGACCTTTTGCATTTCCATATGAATTTTAGAAGCAGTTTGCCAATTTCACCATAAAACCTGCTGAGATTTTCATTGGCATTGCATTGAATATATAGATTAATTTTTGAAGGGAATCAACACTTTTAAATACTAGGTTTTCCAATCCATTAACTCATAAATCCCTGCATTTACTAAGAATTTCTTTAATTTCTTGAAAAAATGATTTTTCAGTGCAAAACACTTGCACATCTTTTGCTAGATTTATTCCTACATATTTGATGCTTTTAATGCCTAATGGCTAATTTTAAAATGATTCCATGAATCAATGAAGGTTCACTTTTTCCCCGTATCTACTGAAACAGAGTATTGTGAAAATGAATAATGATTTCTCTTCTTTTTTTTGTTTTGAGACAGAGTCTCACCCTGTCACCCAGGCTGGAGTGCAGTGGCACGATCTCGGCTCACTGCAACCTCCACCTCCTTGGTTCAAGCGATTCTCCTGCCTCAGCCTCCTGAGTAACCGGGACTACAGATGCATGCCACCATGCCCCACTAATTTTTTGTATTTTTAGTAAAGACAGGGTTTCACCATGTTAGCCAGGATGGTCTCAATCTCCTGACCTTGTGATCCGCCCACGTTGGCCTCCCAAAGTGCTGGAATCACAGGCGTGAGCCACCATGCCCGGGCGCCTTCTCATTTTTAACACCTACCTATTTGCACAATTATTTAGAACAGGCCTATCTACAGGGTGGTATCAATGTAAGGGTCAACCTATTAGGAGAGCCTAACATCTAACATTGCTGACCTGAATGAAGGTTTCATTTACTGGAAATTAGAAAACTACAGTCCTCAGACCAGGTTTGATCCATAAACGTGTTTGTTCAGCTGGCCCAGTGTTATAAATAAATTAAGTCAGTTACCAACATTTAAAACGTGAATAAATTCCTGCTTTCCAGATTTTCTTGAAAAAATCGGACAATCAGGCAACACTGGGCTCATGTTCTTTCTTGGAAGCAATGGGTTGAAACTGAGTAGCAGCTTCCTCCTTAGATGGGGCACACGTTCTCCAGGTCCCCACAGTCCCTACTAAACCCTAATGCCTTACATTCAATCCCTATGCTACCTGCTTGGTCCCTATAGATAGTCGAGTTGGTTACCCCTGGTTAATCCCTTTTTGGCATTTAGCCGACGTTGGTTGTTTGTTTTGTTTTATGTTTATTTTTGTTTTGATTATTTAAGGATACTATCTTTTTTTTTAAATGTGCTTTCCTGAGATCTTTGCTAAAGAACGCTACCTTTTAAATACTGTTTTAGGCAGGGTGCGGTGGCTCGTGCCTGTAATCCCAGACTTTGGGAGGCTGAGGCGGGCGGACCACCTGAGGTCAGGAGTTCAAGACCAGCCTGGCCAACATGATGAAACCCCGTCTCTACCAAAAATACAAAAATTAGCCGGGTGTGATGGTGCACGCCTGTAATCCCAGCTACTCAGGAGGCTGAGGCAGGAGAAGCGCTCGAACCTGGAAGGCAGAGATTGCAGTGAGCTGAGATTGTGCCACTGTACTCTGGCCTGTGTGATGGAGCGAGACTCTGTCTCAAGAAATTTAAGTAAATACTGTTTTAAGTAAGGAATTGTCAAGAGAAAATGACTCCTTTTAAGACTCAAGTAAATGTTCTTCTCTAGAAAAACTTTTCCAATTTTTCACATCTACTCCGCCCCGTCTTTGTTCCCCTACCCCAGCACCTATCTGGTTATACACCTGTCCCTTGGTATCCTCAGAGGATTTGTTCCAGAGTCCCTGACAGACACCAAAATCCATGGATGCTCAAGTCTTTTATACAAAATGGTGTAGTGTTTTCATATAACCTATGCACATCTTCCCATATACTTTCCTTTTCTCTTTCTTTTCTTTCTCTTTCTTTCTTTCTTTCTCTCTTTCATTCTTCCTTTCTTTTTCTTTCTTTTTTTTTTTTTTATGAAACAGGGTCTTGGTATATCACCCAGGGTGGTCTCTAACTCCTGGGCTTACAGGATCCTACTGCCTCAGCCCTCCAAGTAGCTGGGACTAACAGCACATGCTACCACACCCAGCCAGTATACTTTAAATCATCTTCAGATTACTTATAATACCTAATACAATGCAAATACTATGTAAATAGCTGTTGAACTGTATTGTTTTTATTTGTATTCTTTAATTGTTGTAATCTTTTATTGTTTTTTTTTCCTAAGTATTTTGGACCTACAACTGGCTGAACCCATGGATACAAAGGGCTGACTGTATTCTGATGATTAATTTTTGTATCTTTATCCTCTTCAAGTTAGAAGCCCCTAAAAAGCAGAGATTCTGATCATTCCCTGTGATATGCCTAGTGTGTAGTACATAGATGCCCATAGATGCTCAATAACTGTGCATCAAATCAACAAATAAATGAATGATGGGTGGCTGAAAATCAGGCTGGGTTACCTTGTGTCTATCTTAGGGCAGTGAACTTAAACATAGAACCTGGAGAATACACATGATTTTCTCTAATATTCAAAAATAATATGTTGCCACATCTGAACATGACACTATAGCTAAACTCAACAGCCTCATCCTAGCATGTTCACGAATATGCCAAGCATGTTGTCTTACCTAGTTTCTTGTTCACATCGCTTTGAGATTTTCTTGTGGTCTTTTCAATTTCATCCACAAGCCTCTGGCTTTCTGCGACCAGGCGTTCTGATCGGGACCTTTGAGCGTCTGCTCTGTGGTACTGGTTCTTGTTAGCAATGTGCCACTCTGAGGGCAGGAACTTGGGTGGAGGTTGTAATAGTTTAGCCATTTGAGGTTTCCAAATTCCTGATCAAAAGCAGACTCTTTTAGATTAAATGAAAGCAATTTGTCCTTTTTTATGATAATTTTTATTCAAGGATGACATATATACGGAAAATTGCATAAATCATAATCTGTACACAAAATAAATCTATCTGTGTAGCCGGCACCCAAACCAAGAAACAAGCATTACCAGCATCTCTAACCTCCTCCCAGTTACTCCACCTCAAGCCCCTCAGGGTAACCAGTATCCTGACTTTTAACACTACAAATTCGTTTTGCTGTTTTTGAATTTAACATAAATGGAATAATACAGTATGTATTATTCTGTCTCTGACTTCTTTAGCTCAACATTATGTTTGTAAAATTCATCCATATTGTCTATATGATTGCAGTTTGTTCGTTCTCGTTGCTGTGTAGGTGCCGTTATATGAATAAAATCTAGCTGTCTTTTCTACTGTTTATGGATATTTGGGTTGTTTACACTCCAGGGCCATAATGAGAATGCTATTAATAGTCTCATACATGTCTTTTGGTGAACACGTGTATGCATTTTTATAACTCATTAGAATTGTTGGGTCATGGAGTAATGTTCTGCCAAACAGATGAGCCCAGAGATGTTTTCTTAAAAAAAGAAGAAGAAAAAGAAGAGGAAGAAGAAGGAGGAGGAGGAGGAGGAGGAGGAGGAAATGTAACATGTGTAAACTGACAACTGGGTATTGAACTTGTTCAACACATAAAAGAATCTGAAAACTTCCAGGACAAAGAAAAGGAGAGAACAGGAAGGGGAACAACACAGGGGAAGCCAGCTGGCAGAGGCTGTCGGCAGTGGAAACGCTAAAATTACCCATTTCATCTTCATACAACTCTGATGGACCATGAGAACTGCCTTCCTCAGACAGGGCTGAAATCTGCCCCCACTCCCATCTCTACCCTAAGGTCTGAGTCCCTGCTCTTAGGGGCCTCTGGATCTCTGAAGCCTTCACATATATAAGGATGAAACTAGAGTCAGATCTTGACTAGGCTGAGAACCTCAGCCCACCCAGCCCCCTCAGACAACATGGAGTTTCTCCGTTTCTTCCTAGCCCAGTCCCTTTTATGGCTTCTACCGAATTTATCTGAGTGTGGAGCCCAGCATTTAACCCAAGGCTCCTGGATAAGTCTGAATAGCCCCCAGAGAGGTGGGGACCTAAATTAGGGCTCATCCCAACGTCATAAGGATTTGGTTAGGCGGGGAGGGTTGCGGGTAGGGGTCGGTGGGGTGGGGTCATGGTTTACTTACCTCAGCGCCACACAGAACCACTACGCAAGCTCGGGATGGGAGCCTCCTTACCCCAACTGGAGCTTCCAGCTCTTGCAGAACAGAGAGGTAAACAACGCGGTCTCCATGACAACAAGTGACGCGTTGCCAGGGCAAAGAGGGCTGGTTCCGCCACTGAGCAGCCTGGCCAAAGGCTTAGCGCAGGCGCAAATTCTGCGGACCCCAGAGCCAGAGACCCAGGAGTGTGGCGTGTGGGAAGGGTAGGGCCAGATGCTCCGGCCACCTCAACCTACCGCGAAGACGCGGGGCACCAAGCAGAAGACAGCGGCCAAAGCCCCGAGCTGGGAGTCAGGAGACCTGCGTCTAGTCCGAGCCCTCCCGCGGGCGGGATCATCTCGGGTCGCGCTGTACCCCGGCTCTCAGACTTCCCGGCTGTACAGTGGGGTTGGGCTGGGCGATGCCTCCAGGACCTCGCAGTCGCAGGCGAAATTGAGGGTTAAAAATCAGGAAGCCAAGTTGATTGTTTCTGTAAGCTACAATGAGTTTCCTCCAGAGTTTGTATAGGTCTGTTACCACAACTGGCTTATTTCTGCGTGGGGCGCCCGATGGGGCACTCTGTGAGGGCAGGTGTGTGAGTAGAACGCCTTCAGGCAAACACTCCAGAAGTCACTCTGCATCCACTAGGAGATGGAAAATATGGGAGAAAAATTAAATCTGAGGGGATAGCTCCAGAAGATTTAATATTTGTCAAGTAGGACTTCCAGAAGGAAAGAAAAAAAGAGAGAGAATGGCAAAACAATTGTGAAAGTGAGAGAGAGATAACTTGAGCCAAAGACTCAAGTCTTTAGATTAACGACCCACCTGAAATTAACACACACCCCCATTCCTTACATATAGTCCTCCCTGTGGATTATGCATATAATCCATAGAGTGATTAGCTCCAGGATCCCCCTCAGATACTGAAATCTGCAGATTCTCAAGTCTCATATAAAGTGGTGTAGCATTTGTATATAACCTACGCACATCCCTAGATAGGCATACTTTACGTCATCTCTAGATTGCTACAATACCTAATACAATGCCTAATACAATACCTAATATAGTGCCTAATACAGTGCCTAATGCAATACATAATACAATACATAATACAACACCTAATACCTAATATAATACCTAATACAATGCCTAATACAATACCTAATACAATGTCTAACCATGCCTACTCATCGCTTCATTCGCATGGATTCAACATAGCACTCAGGGTGCAACAAATTCAAGTTTTGCTTTTTGGAGCTTTGTGGAATTTTTTTCCTGAATATTTTTTATTTGTGTGTCATCGCATCCAAGGATGTAGAATCCACGGATAGGAAGGGCCAACTTTATACCTATTCTGGTGGAATTTCTTAATTCAAAGAATAAGAAGAAAAAGAAAGAATAGGTATCAAGTGTTTCGTCTCTAACACAGGTGGCTAGAAATGATGGTTGCTAGAAATGATGCTAGGATAATGCCTTCAAATTCTATAGAAAATTATTTCAAATCTGGGATTCTACAACCAGTCAAAGCATTTCATGTATGAGAGCAAAATAAAAGATTTCTTTGGACATGCCAGTACTCAAAACGGTGAGCGTACATTCTTTATGGAAAAAAATAATAGAGCAAAAGTGAAAAATCCAGAAAGAAGAAGATACTGGACATAAGACATAGTGGAACCAACCCAGCTGTGTGATGAAAAGAAAGCTCGGTGTAATAGCTACCGAACTAAAAAGCAATGAGTCCAAATTACAACTAAAAGTCAAAAGAAGTTTTGAACAATATCTTTAAGAAGAGTTATACAAACTATGATTCATAACCCAGAAGTATAACCACATGGTGAGTTGAAATTATGTCTCTTCTGAGCAATAAAAAGTAGATAAATGATGACAGTCTCCGTGATGCATGCCTGAGGTGCCATCACTTGGAATGCCTGGGAGGTATGGCTTGAGCTCAGGAGTTTGAGACTGCAGTGAGCTATGATCACACCATTGCACTCCAACCTGGGTGACACAGACCCCTATTAAAATATTTTTTAATTTTTATAAGTTAAAAATAGACAAATACAAATTCTGAGAAAAGTTAAAAGCTGCACAAGGGCTGGGCATGGTGGCTCACACCTGTAATCTTGGCACTTTGGGAGGCCAAGGCGGGAGGATTGCTTGAGCTCAGAAGTTCAAGACCAGATTGGGCAACATGGTGAGACCGTGTATCTAAAAAAATAAAAATAAATAAAAAACCTACAGAAGAAAGTTATAAGTATGAAGAAAATTAAATTTTGATGTCATTTTCAGAGTAGTATATGAAATACAAGAGATGGTGCCAAAAGTCACCACCCCCTCATGATCATCCCTGCTGAACTCATTCATTCTCTGAACTCATTCATTCTCTGAACTCATTCATTCTCTGAACTCATTCATTGATTTGTTCAACAAAGATTTGTTGACCACTCTCTGAACTCATTCTCTGAATTCACTCATTCATTAATTTGTCCACATACCTATTGAACATCTATGAAGTATCAAGACCTGTGCTAGACACCAAGGATAGATGAAGATAAAACACAGTCTCTGCCTTCTGTGGAGATTACAGATGCACAGCTATTGACACAGCAATTCAATTCCACATCTAGGGATTTATCCTACAGATACATCTGCACATGTGCAAAATGATGTAACTGTGTGTAAAAAGTTATTCATTGCAAAATTGTTCTTAATAGAAAAAAATTTACATATCCCAAATGTCCACCAAGAGGAGACTGATTAAATAAATTATGAAACAGTCATAGAGTATTTTTTACTGTAAAATATATAATTAGAAATCTTTTTTACATCTCTTTGATATGGAGTGACCAACGAGATATATTAAATGAAAAAAGCAAGGTTCAGAAGAATTACATATATAGTATTTTACCATTGTTATGATAGAAAATGGTAAAATGTAATTGTTTGTGTACCCCTAGAATTTCTCCAGACAGATACATAAGAAACTGGTAACACTGGTTGCCTCTGGAAAGAGAACTGGATGGCTGGGGTGTGGAGGGTAAAGGAGGCTTCACTGAATAATCTTTTGCCTTTTGAGAGTTGTACAATTATTATCTCTTTTAAAAGAATATAAAAATGCAGAAACTCTTTATAATAAATGATTTCAGTAAATGAATGACACAAATACGGCAGCCGATAGAAGAGCAGGAGGTGTGAAAGCGTTGAGACAGAGCTAACTAGTTATTTTGAAACCAGAAGAATTCAGAGGGAGATGAACAGAGGCAGTATGTCTAGGAGACGACACACTTAGCCAGGGGCCTGAAGACTGGCTTCCAGCCTGGATCTCACCACGGACAAGCCTCAGGTTTCCCATCCTCGATAAATCTGTCATGCTATCCTGAGTATTTTATGGATGCAAAAGTGCTACCCAAACATCAGATCTTATTCACTTCTTATTTAACTGTCATACAGTGGCCACTGTGACCCTTGACCTCTGTTTTGGTAGCATTGCCAGTAGTATTGGGATCTGTGTCAACTTCCCCACTGAACTGCACCTAGATTGGGGGGAAAAGACTCCCTTCATATAATGGTATTGGTAAGATGTGAATTGTTTTCCATCTTAGGTTTCACTGTGGAGCAGTGAGTTCATTGATAAGAAACCACTAGCCCTTTATTCTTGCTATTCCTTATAATAAGTATCAATATCACAGGCCATTGTGCGAAGCTGGGCATTCAAGACCCTAGTGTTCTGCGTCTGTAGCGGGGACTTAGTCCCCTGTTGTATGACGCTAACCCCAAATTAGCAATTAACAAACATGATAACTTAAAAGCTTTTCATTGGAATTTTAACCTACCAAATAACTGTGATGTGCTTTTAAGAGGCCCTTAGGGGAATAAAAGGATATAAAGCATGTGCTTCCCCTTTGAAATAACAGATTTTCACTGCCAGTAAGGATGAAGAGATGTTCTCCACCATCTTTCTTTCAGGTGTTCACAGCAAATCAACAAGGAATAAAAAAATGGGAAAGATTCATAAGACACTGATCAATTACAGGACTGTATGGCACACACCAGGATGTCCCGGCACAGTTCACAAGCAAGGCTCCATTCAGGGTCCCCATTTCTCATTTCTAGAAGGTGGCTTTTCTCTGTAATTGACACCACAGTACAAAATAAATCAAAATCCTGAGGCTAGAAACAAGATAGTCAAGAATATGTGCAACATGTATTGATTTCTAGAAGTCGTCACGATATTTTAAAGTAGCTTCTTGTATAGAATTAAGTGGTGAAATGCTTCCTGTTTCTCGAATGATCACCACAACCACCATTTATCAAGCATGTATTATGTGCCAGGCACTGTGCTTGGGAGATATTATCCCATTTAATCTACACACAGCCCTTTAGGAGAGCTATGATTAATGACCCAATTTTTTAGAAGACAGGAGGCACAAAGAAGTTACTTACAGCTACTAAATGGTTAAAAAAAAGGAGGGGGCGGATTTTAATTACCTGACCCTAGAGCCTGCAATGCTAACCACTATACCCATTGTCGGAGCACTATATTGACTCACACGCTCCTAAGAGACAGGTTAGTCCTTTTCAAGGTAGTGCATAATGATCTTTTCAATGTGTAACGTTGGAGGCTTGACTAGACCTTTCTTAAGTCTTGTTCCTATTTGCCTCCAGGAGTTTGAGCAAAGTGGCCATTTCCTGCCCTTCATCACTTGCTGTATGGTTCTCCTTAAAGAAAAACCAGCCATGTGGGTGATCCTTTGAGCACCCCATCTGCCTCCACGGGCTCTCCTGTAAGCTTCTTCACCCAGCCAACAAGGTCCTGAGCAGAAGCCTTGTTTCCAGGCTGTCTCCTACGTCTGGAAGTCTGGGCTCTTGAATCACAACAGGATCTTGACTGCTTTGGCAATTTGAATTTGAGGATGATGAGCAGTGCCTCATCTCAAAAAATTACTGGAGTAACTTTTATGAAACTATTTTGTTTTCAGGGTCTAAGGTTTTTGCTTTGGAGACACTCAGGGAATATGTATCTACTCGTTCAGGCTTAGAAGGCTTGCTCTTGGCTGCTTTGTAGGCAACCAAACCAAATGTTGAACATATTCAGGGTTTTACCAAGTACTCCAAAAACAAGACCAAATATAATCAAAAGTAAGCAAGAAAGAAATGGTGAGATGGCTTTAAAATGACACCTGCATGCACAATGTTATTCATTTCAGCATCGCTGGTAATAGGAAAAGACTAGAAGCAACTTACATGCCCATCAGTAGGTGTCTTGCTAAACAAATTATGGCACATCCTTACCATTGGAAACCATGAAGCTACAAAAGAATGAGGAAGGACCTTTTGTAGCCAAACGAAATGACCTCTAAAGGATAATTTTCAGTGAAAAACAATAAAAAATCAATGTGATCCTCCTGCCTCAGCCTCCTGAGTAGCTGAAGCAGAAAGGTTGATATTATCTATTTTGTCCTCAAAAATATTTCTATAAATAAGAGGGGAGGAAGAAAACATATATACATATTTGCTTGTAAATGCATAAATATTTCTGGAAGGATACACAAGAAACTGGTGACCTTGGCTGACTGTGAAGCAAACTAGGTGTCCAGGGAGAGTGGTAGAAGGAGACTTTTCACTGAATACCCTTTTGTGTCTTTTACACTTTGAACCATACACATGTATGTACTACCTTTGCAAAAATAATAATTGAATTTTATTTTATTATTATTAAAATTAGTTCTAGACCAGTATTGATAAGTAGGAACAAGATAGAAAGTCTTATAACAAATAAGACAAAGGGCTAGAATATTTCAGTTACAGTGATAGGCTATGAACCGGGTCAGGACTAGCCAGTTAAAAGAGTCACTACATTTGGTCATTTGCTGTAAAGAAAGCCGAAATCAAATCGGTGCTTTGGTAAAGCCATTACATAACCTACATTTGGATTAATTCCAGTTCCTAACCATTGTTTCTTCTTGCAGTGAGGCCCCAGAAGTAATTCAGGCAGAATAATGAATAGAAATTTCGTAGTTTTCCTGAATAATAGTAGTTGAGTGCCTATATATCAGAAAGTGTTTGCATTATTTATCCATCATTTAACAAGTCCCTTCTTAAGCTCTGCTCCCTGCATCTCACAGTGCTAGGTGCTTTGGGGTAGGTAGCATGGGATCAGCCTCTGGTATCAGACCCAAGTTCAAGTCCAGTTCAGGCTTATACTACTTGCAGGATTTGTTTCCCTTGTTTTTTGTTTGTTTGTCCATTTGTTTGGGGGATGTTTAGTTTTATTTATTTATTTGCCAGGGTCTTGCTCTGTTGTTGCCCAGGCTGAATGCAGTGGCAGCAATCGTGGCTCACTGCAGCCTCCAACTCCTGGGCTCAAGTGATCTTCCCACCTCTGCCTCTTGAGTAGCTGGGACTACAGGCACATGGCCACCTGCCACCATGCCTGGCTCTTTCTTTCTTTTCTTTCTTTCTTTTTTTTGTAGAGTCACAGTCTCCTATGTTGTCCACACTGGTGTCAAACTCCTGGTCTCAAGCGATCCTCTGGCTTCAGTCTCCCAAAGTGCTAGGATTACAGGTATGAACAACTATGCCCAGCCCCAGCTGTGTGATGTTGGGCAAACTGCTTGTCTCTCTGCATCTCAGTTTCCTCATCTGTGACAAATGAACACAATATCTACCACATAGGGCACTATAAAGATTAAATGAAATCATGTATGTGTATTAGTCCAGTTTCATACTGCTATAAAGAACTGCCCGAGACTGGGTAATTTACGAAGGAAAGAGGTTTAATCGACTCACGGTTCAGCATGGCTAGGGAGGCCTCAGGAAACTTACAGCCATGGCAGAAGGCAAGAAGGAAGCTAGACACCTTCACAAGGCAGCAGGAAGAAGAAGTGCAGAGAGAAGGAAGAGCCTCTAATAAAACCATCAGATCTTGGCCGAGCACGGTGGCTCACGCCTGTAATCCCAGCACTTTGGGAGGCCAAGGCGGGTGGATCACCTGAGGTCAGGAGTTTGAGACCAGGCTGACCAACATGGTGAAACACCGTCTCTACTAAAAATACAAAAATTAGCCGGGCATAGTGGTAGACACCTGTAATCCCAGCTACTCAGGAGGCTGAAGTAGGAGAATCACTTGAACCTGGGAGGTGGAGGTTGCAGTGAGCCGAGATTGCACCACCGCACTCCAGCCTGGGTGACAGAGCAAGACTCCGTCTCAAAAACAAAAAAAAAAAAATCAGATCTTGTGAGAACTCACTCGCTATCACTCACAATCACTATCAGAACAACATGGGGAAACGATCCCCAAGATTCAATTACCTCCACCATATTGATACTAACCATATCAGTAGGCAAATTGCAACAGATGCTCAATACGTATTTTCTGTCCTTCCTTTCTCTTTAAGGTTCTTGGTGTCTTAACATACTCAGGGATATTTATTTACAAGGCAGCATATTATAACAAATAAGTGATAAAAACAGCGTATATCACAGGATTGTAGTTCCTAACTAGCAGTTCATATCAATAGCAAACAAAAACCTTCTTATAAAGTTCTTCTTAGACCTGCTCACTCAGTCATTGAAGGTAGGGCTAGGGCATAAAAATTCAATATGTATCTATTTCCTGTTAAATCAGTAATACACACTGAGAATTAAAATTTTAAATATAAAAGGGAATACAGTGAGAAGTAAATCTCCTTCCCATTCCTATTCCTCTGGCTCCTTTTTCCCTCCAAAAGGCATTCATTTTGTCCAAAGATATGTCTCATTATTTTTTTTCTAATCTTTGTTCTATGTGTTCTTCAAATTGGATAAGTTCTATGTTTCTGTCTTCAAGCTTGCTGACTTCTTTTGGTCGTTTTCATCCTGCTATAAGCCCATCCAGTGAATTTAATATTTTAGATATCATATGTTTTTAGTTCTAGAATGCAACCATTTGGTTGTGTTTTGGTAGTTTCTATTTCTCTGATGAAATTTCCTATTTTTCATTCCTCCTGAACATATTTCCATTTATATCCAGTTCTTATCTCATGAGCTATTTCCCCTAATCACAGACTAAAAATATATATTTTTTCCCTTCCATTTAATTCTTAGATGGATTCCCTGTCTAGAGAATGAAGAATTTAGATTCAGTGATCATCACAGAAATAAAATTGTTACAATCTTTTAAAATCCTTTTATTCACCTTGAAAGCAATTTGGGATTTTGGACTTTAAAAATAATATTTCACTTGAAAACTGTCTCAAGCATCTAATGTAAATGAAAACAGCAGGAATTCTGCTAAGTGATTTGAAGAAAGACATCAAAACACACTGACTTTTGCACATATATTTTTAATTGAGACAGAGTCTTCCTCTGTTGCCTAGGCTGAGCGCAGCAGTGAAAACATGGCTCACTGCAGCCTTGACCTCCTGGCTCAAGCAATTCTCCCACCTCAGCCTCTTGAGTAGCTGGGACCACAGGCACATGACACCACATCTTGCTAATTTTTAAATTTTTTATAGGGACAGTGTTCCACTATGTTGCCCAGCCTGGTCTTGAAATCCTGGGTTCAAGTGATCCTCCTGCCTTAGCCTCCCAAAGTGCTGGGATTCCATGCATGAGCCACCTCACCTAGCTTGCCTATTTTTAATTGGGAATTTTTGGGCTCTCTCTCCAGTGCCTCATTATGTAAGGTATATAACTTGCAGGGCATGACCTCAGGGAACTTTCTAGTTGCCTGAACTTTCTAATGGCGACAACTAGGACACCAGAACACTTTTGCCACCTGTCCTACTGTTGCTAGAATAATGTTGGCCCTTGAGTTCATAGACAAAGAGAAAGCAGTTCTCTCCTGGCCACTCAGGGGCAGAAAAAGCATCCCCACTCCTCTGCATTAGGAGAAAACACATTTTCTATGCATGAAAGAAAAGGAAGCAGAACTTCTGTTAAAATGATGCCCAGGAAAAAACTTTTTTTTTTTTTGAAATTAACTATTCTATCTTATATTAGTCAATAAGGAAGTGTATAATATATAATCAATATATATTATATTCACTGAAAATTGCTTTAAAGATGGTGCTAAGCCAATACTGAGAAGAGTGCCTGTAACAAAATAGGCACTCAGTAATCTTTTTTAAAATTCACAAGCAAAAAAAATATACATATATATATATGGTTAAACTGGATTTCATTTCCCATACAAATACCAGAAGCTTCCAAGAAAAGTATATTTTGAGAGTTTTTTTTTTCTTGAAGGGCATTATTTTTCATATAAAGTTTGTGTTGAACAAACTTTGTTACAAAGAACAATTCTATGCTATGGCAGAGTATGTTTGCACATTGCAGTTGTCTTTTTTCTTTATGATGAAATTATCAAACACATTAATAAGATCTGAAGGTCCAGTTTTCAAGAAAGGAAGATAGTCATGGATGCTGGTGTAAGCCTTCTAGAAAATTTTCAGGCCTTTAGAAAAATTTGAACAACTGCCTGATCCCTTGAGTCGTGAAAGGTATTTTAAAATTAGTATTACGGCCAGGTGCAGTGGCTCACGCCTGTAATCCCAGCACTTTGGGAGGCCGAAGTGGGCGGATCACTAGGTCAGGAGATCAAGACCAATCTGGCTAACATGGTGAAACCCCGTCTCTACTAAAAATAAAAAAAATTAGCCGCGCCTGGTGGCAGACGCCTGTAGTCCCAGCTACTCGGGAGGATGAGGCAGGAGAATGTCGTGAACCCGGAGGCGGAGCTTGCAGTGAGCCGAGATCGCGCCACTGAACTCCAGCCTGGGTGACAGAGCAAGACTCTGTCCCAAAAACACAACTAAAAAATAAAAATAAAAATAAAATTAGTATTACATAGTAAAAATTATGTGTTAATTATTGTTAATAGTCTTCAGTGTTAATTATGGACTTACTAATTGCATAAATCATGACTATTCCTTAATGTTTTATTTCAAAGTAGAGTTTAGGATGCTAAACATATGTTTATTGTTTGCA
The DNA here is from genome assembly GCF_000001405.40 of Homo sapiens. Lineage (NCBI taxonomy): Eukaryota > Metazoa > Chordata > Mammalia > Primates > Hominidae > Homo > Homo sapiens. The sequence goes on from NC_000017.11 coordinate 6,841,633, forward strand.
AATACCTATGTGCTGGCATTTATGTGAGCCAAGCAAAGTCTGATTGGGCCAAACCCTGGGAAATGTAAATATATTTATTCTTATTTTACTATTTGGCAAAGTCTCCTGATAATTGTAATAATGTCTGCTATTGAATCGTGGCAGACACCATCCAGTGTTTCTCGGAATACAGGCAGCCCTCCTACACTCTGCATCAGAGCCCCTCCCGCAGGCGATGCTTGTTAAAGGATGGATTCGCAGGACCCGCCGCTGAATCAGAACTTAAGTTTAAAAAAGGCTGCACCTTCACGGGTGCTCGCTCTGTCCTACCAGTGAGCTTCCCTTTAGTTTCGCGTTTCCACAGGAAACAGGACATAGATCTAAAATTGCCTTTGCACTTGGACTGGTTTCCTTTGCTGACCTAATACAGAATAGCTTTTTGTGCTGTGACTGCGAGTGTGTTGAACAGATCCTCTGTATTTTAGGAGAAGAAATTTGGTGCCTCGTTGCTCACCATCACCACTGGCCCTGGTAGCTCTGCGGATAAACCAGCTTGGATTTCACCCTTGAGGATTAACATTGCAACACTGCATAGGCACATAAAGCCACCTGAAAGTCAAGATGAGGCAGGTAATGTGCACTGGGATCTCATGTGGTTGGTGTCTTGTCTTTTGCCATTTGTCAAGCACAGCAGCTGAGGTTGCTGAAGCAGGTGACTTTCAAGAGCCGAACCCACTGCAAGAAGCTCTCCTGGAAAGGGGCATCAAGGCTGCTGACCCTCCTCCTGCCCCTCCGCTGACCAACTCCACACCTGGGATTAGAGGGGAGGAAACCTTTATCCCATACTCTCTTATGTTCTATTCCTGGGGACCTGCAAATTAAGCTGATAAAACACAGATTAACAAAGGAAAAATAATACAATTTTAATTGATATTAATATTTTTATGTGCACAGGAGCTTCACAAAGAGAAGTAGAAACTCAAATACGTGGTTAGATGTGAGAAATTATATACTACTTTCACAAAGGGTGATAAATTATGGATAAGTGACTGGACAAAGGAAAGAATGTTTGGGCTTCTGGGGTTATAAATTGTGAGAAAGTGCTTAGGAATATATGGGAGAAAATAATAGAAGATTAAAGTTATCTCCATAAGGTTGGTTTATGCAGATTCTTCTGAATGCAACTCCCATCACCAGTGATAAGAGTCACTCTTTTTCTTCCGGGTATAGAGGGGCATCTTCCTCAAAGCAAAATTTAGGTCCTGCATTTAGGCAGATAAGGGAAGGCAGAGAACTTTTACTGCATTTGTTGTTTCTTCCTTGCCTATAGCTCAAAATATTCTTCTGCCAAGGTAGCATATTTTGGGGGTGGCATATTCTGATCCTCTTTAGGATCATCAGCACCTCCAGCTGGGGTGAGGCTGGATGGGGGCTGGCACAAAGGAGGCTTTCAGGCAGTTTCCTTGAGTTCTAACCGCAACCCCTGCAGAACAATTGGCCTGTGGCCTGTGGCCTGCTCTCCCCACTATGCCTGAATTGCTGTGGACTAGTTTATGAATAGCCCTCTGAACCCAGAGGAAGCTCGAGGAACAGAATTGACATACCCATCAGCTAGAATCGCTGTAGGAAGACAGAATCAGTGAACATAAAGTATCCAAGTTCAAACAATTGAAAATGAAATAATAATTAATTTTTAAAAGAGCTTTGTGAAATATGTGGATAAAGCATACTTTCCGATGAGCCTAATACTATGAATGATAAATTATAAACGGGAGTCCTATTTTAAATCTAAGCAAGGATTTTAACTCAAGGAAATCAATATGTTCCACAAGAGGGCAGTATGGTAACTCGTTTATAAAACAGTAGGCTCAGAAGAGCCAAGGACGTTTGTGATCAGTTTTTAAATTTGTGATAAGAACTGCTTTGAGCAGAAACAAAAATCAAACACCATTTTTACCGTAAAGAGTTTTTCTACATGACATGAAAGCTACTCAAAAAGATTGGGGAGTTTTTTAAGTGTGAATGACATACTTTTGAAAAAGTAAGCTCCTGGACTTGGAACTATACAGAATTGCTTTCATTAGTTGCTATGTTGCTCGGTTGCTATGTGGTCTAGTAAAAGCTACAGACAAAATCAAGGAAATCACATTTCCTCTGATTCCTCACCTCAAGTTGTGCCTGACAAAGTTTGTGGGAGAGTCTAAATTGGGAAAGATAGTGATCCTTACAGCTAGCTTTATCTGAACTCTGAGTAGCAGGCTGGGCGCTTTACGTGGATTATTTCTTTCAGCCCCATCGTAGCTCTATGAGTTAGGAACTATTATTATCTTCATTTGATAGACGAGGAAACCAAGGCCCATAGAGGACTGAATGCTTGCCCATGGGACATGGCTCATGCAGAGTTGGGATTCAAATCGGGCACATCAAATCTAGATCCCAAGTTTGAGCTATTTCTAGGCAATTAGTAGCAAAGACAGAACTAGAACCCATATCTCTTTGTTACGAATTAAAGGGTGACTTTAATGTTGAAAACGATGTGTATGGCGGGACTGAGTAGAAGAAACCTTTGGAGGAGGGCTGATGGGCCAGACAAAAAGTGACTGTGTTTGCAAAAAGACAGGTTCATGCCAAGAAACGAGAACATTCCTGTCTGAGCTGGGATCCCCCATTTATGCCGATTATGCAGTGTCAGGGTTGTCAAGAGCAGAGGGATTTCCCCATTCTCTTCTCAAACTCCAAAGAGCTCTGAGATCCACAGGCTGGTGGGGTTCCCAGGAGAAGCCTGCAGAAGGTGCTTCCTCCTTCAGGGCACAGAAGAGGACGAAGAGAAGTTCACCTAAATCCCCAGAGCCCTTAGTCAAGTTCATCCCAAAACTATCCGAATAATCATGACTGCTATCCCTTGAGAACTCAAATGCCAGGCCCTGTGCTAAGCATTTTACTTGTGTTAGCTCATTTAGTCCTCATAGCAATTCAATGAGGTGGGGCTTATGTTCACCATCTGGGAATTTCACAGGCTGGCCCCTCTCACAGGAGTTTCATCATGTAAGGCCTGCGTACATATATGCATGAGAAAGCATGTCTTGTACACAAATTGGTTTTCCTAAACCCTCCCTCATCTTTGAGCAATGCAGCCGATTTTGTTTTTAAAATGCAGCCCACTTCTGAGTAAGCATGGCAGATTGCTCACTTCCCCCTTCCAAAACTCCACTGAAATGGCAATAAAGGAATCAAGAATATATAAACTCATAAGGTGATAAAATGAGGGAAGAGATGAACATGGATGAGAGAGTCCCACAAATATCTGGAAGAGGGAGAGGAGCAGGAGCTGACTTGGCAGAGCTGGGGATCACTACCTGGCTCCCTGCAGATGAGGAAACTAATAAGCAGAAGCGAGGTGGTCTTATAGAACTCTAGGTGCTGAGGACGGGGAGATCCAAATCTACAGAAGGTGGGCATAAGGCATGGGACTAAAAACAGGGGGGCTAAGTGGCCTGTATAGGGGGAGGATGGACCCCCTTCCTCCTCCTACAGCAGGCGCACCCCAGCTGTCTCCACCCACCCATTGCACGCCTCCCCACCCTCACTGCCAGCAGGAGGTTTGACACATTCTCTCTGGATAACTGAATGGCTCCTGAGAAAAGACCCCCACATTCTGACATCTTGGAGTCCCGCCCCAGTTTAAAAGCCAGTTTGCTGTCCAGCGACCTTGTTGTAAGTCCTTCTGTGGACAAGCCTCACCTACTCCCTCAGAGTTCTCATTCATCTTTTTAGTGAGTCACACTTAGACAGAAACAGGCAGCCCAGGATCTCCAAATGTTTAAAGACAGCCTCCAACTTGGAAGAAAGAAATCCAAACAAATAGGAAAAAGGAACTTGGAGAAAGCAGAAATGATGGAAGACGTAGAAAAAAATGTGAAAATAAAAATTTGATAAGCAATTTCTTCAGAAAAATAAAATAAGGTGTTATATCCATTAATCAAGAGTTAGATTCTTTTTTTATGTACTTTAAGTTCTGGGGTACATGTGCAGGTTTGTTACATAGGTATACACGTGCCATGAAGTTTTGCTGCACCCACCAACCCATCATCTACTTTAGGTATTTGTCCTAATGCTCTCCCTCCCCTTGCGCCCCATCCCCTGACAGGCCCCAGTGTGTGATGTTCTTCCTCCCTGTGTCTGTCCATGTGTTCTCATTGTTCAACTCCCACTTATGAGTGAGAACATGCGGTGTTTGGTTTTCTGTTCCTGTGTTAGTTTGCTGAGAATGATGGTTTCCAGCTTCATCCATGTCCCTGCAAAGTACATGAACTCATTCTTTTTATGGCTGCACAGTATTTCATGGTGTATATGTGCCACATTTTCTTTATCCAGTCTATCATTGATAGGCATTTGGGTTGGTTCCAAGTCTTTGGTATTGTGACTAGTGCTGCAATAAACATATACGTGCATGTGTCTTTATAGTAGAATGATTTATAATCCTTTGGGTATATACCCAGTAATGGGATTGCTGGGTCAAATGGTATTTTTGGATCTAGATCCTTGAGGAATCGCCACACTGTCTTCCACAGTGGTTGAACTAGTTTACACTCCCACTAACAGTGTAAAATGTTCCTATTTCTCCACATCCTCTCCAGCATCTGTTGTTTCCTGGCTTTTCAATGATCGCCATTCTAACTGACGTGAGATGGTATCTCATTGTGGTTTTGACTTGCATTTCTCTAACGACCAGTGATGATGAGCTTTTTTTCGTGTTTGTTGGCTGCATAAATATTTTCTCTTGAGAAGCGTCTGTTCATATCCTTCACCCACTTTTTGATAGGGTTGTTTTTTTCTTGTAAATTTGTTTAAGTTCCTTGTAGATTCTGGATATTAGCCCTTTGTCAGATGGGTAGCTTGCAAAAATTTTCTCCCATTCTGTAGGTTGTCTGTTCATTCTGATCATAGTTTCTCTTGCTGGGCAGAAGCTCTTTAGTTTAATTAGATCCCATTTGTCAATTTTGGCTTGCGTTGCCATTTTTTTTGGTGTTTTAGTCATGAAGTCTTTGCCCATGCCTATGTCCTGAATGGTATTGCCTAGGTTTTCTTCTAGGGTTTGTATGGTTTTAGGTCTTCCGTTAAAGTCTTTAATCCATCTTGAGTTAATTTTTGTATAACATGTAAGGAAGGTGTCCAGTTTCAGTTTTCCACATATAGCTAGCCAGTTTTCCCAACACCATTTATTAAATAGGAAATCCTTTCCCCACTGCTTGTTTTTGTCAGGTTTGTCAAAGATCAGATGGTTGTAGATGTGTGGTGTTATTTCTGAGGCCTCTGTTCTGTTCCATTGGCCTGTAATCCCAGCACTCTGGGCGGCCGAGGTGGGCGGATCACGAGGTCAGGATATCGACATCATCCTGGCTAACATAGTGAAACCCCATCTCTACTAAAAATACAAAAAATTATCCAGGCATCGTGGCAGGTGCTACTCGGGAAGCTGAGGCAGGAGAATGGCGTGAACCCAGGAGGTGGAGCTTGCAGTGAGCCGAGATCGCACCACTGCACTCCAGCCTGGGCTACAGAGCGAGACTCCGTCTCAAAAAAAAAAAAATTGTTATGTGTGAATTTGATCCTCTCATTATGATGCTAACTGGTTATTTTGCCCGTTAGTTGATGCAATTTCTTCATAGTGTCGATGGTCTTTACAATTTGGTATGTTTTTGCAGTTGCTGCTACTGGTTGTTCCTTTCCATGTTTAGTGCTTCCTTCAGGAGCTCTTGTAAGGCAGGCCTGGTGGTGACATAATTTCTCAGCATTTGCTTGTCTGTAAAGGATTTTATTTCTCCTTTGCTTATGAAGCTTAGTTTGGCTGGATATGAAATTCTGGGTTGAAAATTCTTCTCTTTAAGAATGTTGAATATTGGCACCCACTCTCTTCTGACTTGTAGGGTTTCTCTAGAGAGATCCGCTGTTAGTCTGATGGGCTTACCTTTGTGGGTAACTGGACATTTCTCTCTGGCTGCCCTTAACATTTTTCCTTTATCTCAACCTTGGTGAATCTGATGATTATGTGTCTTGGAGTTGCTCTTCTTGAGGAGTATCTTTGTGGTGTTCTCTGTATTTCCTGTATTTGAATGTGGCCTGTCTTGCTAGTTTGGGGAAGTTCTCTTGGATAATATCCTGAAGAGTATTTTCCAATTTGGTTCCATTCTCCCTTCACTTTCAGGTACACCAGTCAAATGTAAGTTTGGTCTTTTCACATAGTCCCATATTTCTTGAAGGCTTTGTTCGTTCCTTTTCATTCTTTTTTCTCTAATCTTGTCTTCACGTTTTATTTCATTAAGTTGATCTTCAATCTCTGATATCCTTTCTTCCACTTGATTGATTCGGCTATTGATACTTGTGTATGCTTCACGAAGTTCTCATGCTGTGTTTCTCAGCTCCATTGGGTCACTTATGTTCTTCTCTAAACTGGTTATTCCACTTAGCAATTCATCTAACCTTTTTTCAAGATTCTTAGCTTCCTTGCATTGGATTAGAACATGCTCCTTTAGCTTGGAGGAGTTTGTTATTACCCACCTTCTGAAGCCTATTTCTGTCAATTTGTCAAACTCATTCTCCATCCAGTTTTGTTCCCTTGCTGGCAAGGAGTTGTGATCCTTTGGAGGAGAAGAGGCGTTCTGGCCTTTGCAATTTTTAGCCTTTTTGCACTGGCTTCTCCCCATCTTCATGGATTGATCTACCTTTGGTCTTTGATGTTGGTGACTTTTGGATGGGGTTTTGGTGTGGACGTCCTTTTTGTTGATGTTTATACTATTCCTTTCTGTTTGTTTGTTTTCCTTCTGACAGTCAGGGCCCTCTTCTACAGGTCTGCTGGAGTTTGCTGGAGGTCCACTCCAGACCCTGTTTGCCTGGGTATCACCAGCAGAGGCTGCAGAACAGCAAAGATTGCTGCCTGCTCCTTCCTCTGGAAGCTTAATCCCAGAGGGAAACCTGCCAGATGCCAGCCGGAGCTCCCCTGTATGAGGTGTCTGTCAACCCCTGCTGGGAGATGTCTCCCAGTCAGGAGGCATGGGGGTCAGGGACCCACTTGAAGAGGCAGTCTGTCCCTTAGCAGAGCTCTAGTGCTGTGCTGGGAGATTCACTGGTCTCTTCAGAGCCGGCAGGCAGGAACATTTAAGTCTGCTAAAGCTGTGCCCACAGCTGCCCCTTCCCCAAGGTGCTCTGTCCCAGGGAGATGGGAGTTTTATCTATAAGCCCCTGACTGGAGCTGCTGCCTTTCTTTCAGTGATGCCCTGCCCAGAGAGGAGGAAACTAGAGAGGCAGTCTGGCTACAGCGGCTTTGTTGCACTGTGGCGGGCTCTGCCCAGTCCAAACTTCCTGGTGGCTTTGTTTACACTGTGAGGGGAAAACCGCCTACTCAAGCCTCAGTAATGGCAGATGCCCCTCCCCATACCAAGCTCGAGCATCTCAGGTTGACTTCAGACTGCTGTGCTGGCAGCAAGAGTTTCAAGCCAGTGGATCTTAGCTTGCTGGTCTCCAGGGGGGTGGGACTCGCTGAGCAAGACCACCTTGGCTCCCTTGCTTCAGCCCCCTTTCCAGGGGAGTGAAAGGTTCTGTCTCACTGGGGTTCCAGGTGCCACTGGGGTACAACAACAACAACAAAAAACTCCTGCAGCTAGCTCAGTGTCTGCCCAAATGGCCACCCACTTTTATGCTTGAAACCCAGGGCCCTTGTGGTGTAGGCACCTGAGAGAATCTCCTGGTCTGCTGGTTGCAAAAACCGTGGGAAAAGCATAGTATCTGGGCTGAATAGTACAGTCCTTCATGGCACAGTCCCTCATGGCTTCCCTTGGCTACGGGAGGGAGTTCCTGACCCCTTGCACTTCCCAGGTGAGACGACGCCCCACCCTGCTTCTGCTCACCCTTCGTGAGCTGCACCCACTGTCTAACCAGTCCCAATGAGATGAACTGGGTACCTCAGTTGGAAATGCAAAAATCACCCATCTTCCTCATAGGTCTCGCTGGGAGCCGCAGACCGGAGCTGTTCCTATTTGGCTATCTTGCCAAGTTCCCCCTCATTTTCTTGAATTACAGCTTTTAGTATTCTTTCTGATCCTTTGCTTTGGTTTTTGTTCATCTTTCCGTTGTGCTTTTGTTTTGTGTAATGATATTATTTTGCCCTTTATTGTCTCTTTTCTTATAGTAACTTTGTATGGGATTTGACTTCACTACTTTTCTACTGCCATTTTTATGTGAATTTTGTTTTCCATGTTAATAAAAAGAAGCTTGTTCAGATAACACATCTAACTTCTTGGATCCCCATCCATTTTTGTTCTTGTAATGTTCAAAAACATGATGGCCTGCTTTTGGAGATTTCCTGGCTTTGTTTCCCCACCCTGTGCTTTTCTGGATCTTTTCTTTCATTTATTTCAGTTGAGTTTTTCCAAGGGTTTCTCTGAAGTGTTCCGCTCCATCCTGGAAGACAGCCTTGGCTGACCAGTTTCAGGAGTTCCCGTAGGTCCTTAGATCTTATCAACTGTGCCTGGCACCTACTTGCTATTACAGTGGTGATAGGCTTTGGATCTGTGTCCCCTCTAAATATCATATCAAACTATAATCCCTATTGTTGGAGGTAGGGCCTGGTGGGAGGTGACTGGATTGTCGAGGAGATTTCTCATGAATGGTTTATCACCATCTCCTTGGTGCTGTTCTCGCGCTAGTGGGTGACTTCTCCTGACATCTGGTCGTTTAAAAGTATGCGACACTGTTTTAGTCTGTTCTTGCATTGCTATAAAGAAATACCTGAGACTGGGTAATTTATAAAGAAAAAATATTTAATTGGCTCATGGTTCCACAGGCTGAACAGGAAGTATGATGCTGGCATCTACTTGGCTTCTGGGAGGCCTCAGGAAACAAAATCATGATGGAAGGTGGAGGGAGAGCCACATGGCTGGAGCCAGAGGAAGAGAGAGAGAGGGGAGAGGTGCCACACACTTTAAAGCAACCAGATCTCATGAGAACTCTATCATAAGAACAGTACCAACGGATAGTGCTAAACCATTCACGAAGGATCCACCCGCATGAGCCAATCACCTCCAACCAGGTCCCATTTCTGACATTTGAAAATTACAACTTGACACAAGATTTAGGTGGGGACACAGATCCGAACCATATCAGGCACCTTCTCCCCCTCTTCCTTGCTCCTGCCTTCAGGATATGATGTGCCTGCTCCCCCTTTGCCTTTTTCCATGATTGGAAGCTTCCTGAGGCCTTCCCAGAGGCAGAAGCCACTATGTTTCCTGTACAGCCGGTAGAACCATGAGCCAATTAAACCTCTTTTCTTGTAAATGAGCCAGTCTCAGGTATTTCTTTACAGCAGTGCGAGAATGGCCTAAAACAAATGGGCATGTTCCCTCCTAGTTCCAGCTGTTGTTCCCAAATTGGCCTACTACAATTTTACCATTTTCAGGTTTGTCATATGTCCTGTTGTTTTCTTCCAAGTTCTCTTGCACAGGTGAGATGTGGATAACACATAGGTCTTATGGCTGTTGGTGGTTTGTCCTGTTTTGGAGTTTGCAGGGATTACTTGTCTAGCTTTTTGTAAATGTGATTCATGAGTATTTGATTTTGCTATCTAGTTCTGTCTGTTTTTATGTGGATATCCAGGAAGATCCAAATTCTATGCTGCCTCCACTGAAACTGTCTTCCCAGAAATGTATTACTTTTTGTCATTAAAAAGGAGGTATAGGAAGATTAATCTATGCACTGCATTTGGAAAGGTGTTTGTTTGTTTGTTGTTTATTTTTAGGTTGCAGTGATGGCAGGGAGCCAATGTTGATTTCTGATATGGGAGGATGATGATCAGAGCTGGTCATCTGAAAGATTAACTTGGCAGAAGTTTGAAGATTGAAGAAAAGTAGTGGAGTGAGAAGGCCAATTCTGACAGTACATCAGCAGTCCAAATAGGAGATGATAATGAGGGAAAGGTGAGTGGGAAGGGCAAGGAAAAGACAGCTGTGGGGAATTCAATAAACGCTGAATCAGTGGCTTGGTGGTGAGGGAAGGATGAAGAAGAGTTAGAAGAATCAGAATTGACTGAAAATTTGTAGGATGAATGTCTAGGGGAATAATATTACCCAAAACACCAGTGTAGATGAGGAAAATGATATGGTGACAGTAATAATGAGGGGTCAGAGGGAGAGCAGTGACTAATTTTTTTTTTTTAATTTGCATTTCACTAGCTGGAGGTACCTCAAGAAAAAGATGTTGTGTGTGAATGTGCAGGGCTGAGGGAAAGGTCCATGCTAGACACACAGATTTGAGAGTCATCTGCAAAGTATACTCCAGGAAAGATAGAACAAATGGCACTATATATCCACAGAAAACTTAGAAACACTATTCCTGAAATAAAGATTGCCTTTGCTCATTGAAAATGTTCACAGTGTTTCAAGTTAACAACTAGTAAAGGACCAAGAGCAAGAACTATCCTCAGGAAAATACTGGCTATAAAAAGAAAGACCTGAAGCTCTATGTGTACAAGTGGTGCTTGTAAATTTTTCTGAGTAGTCTGGTGGTGATTATTGGGGCATCCCCAGATATTGATATTTGGAGATATTTTCTCTGGGGCAATTCAGAATTTTTTTTTTTTTTTTTTTCGAGTTGGAGTCTCGATCTGTCGCCCAGGCTGGAGTGCAGCTGCGAGATCTCTACTCACCACAAGCTCCGCCTCCCGGGTTCACGCCATTCTCCTGCCTCAGCCTCCCAGGTGGCTGGGATTACAGGCGCGCCCGCCACCACGCCCGGCTAATTTTTTTGTATTTTTAGTAGAGGCGGGGTTTCACCATGTTAGCCGGGATGGTCTCGATCTCCTGACCTTGTGATCCGCCCACCTCAGCCTCCCAAAGTGCTGGGATTACGCCACCATGCCCGGCCCAGAATTTTTTTTTAATAGATTATTCTTCCAATTGCCTGAATTCAGAACAACACCTGGCTCCTGATGTTCTAGGGGCAGGGAGCGGGAAAAAGGATGGGGCTTCACTGTTCATTTTGCAGACTTTGACGTTATCCCCATTTTACGTTATCCCCCAATCGAACTGATCTCTGTACCTAATGCTCTAAGTTCAGACCCTCTTCATTTCAGTTTCTCCAGAGAATAAAACTCTAGGGTCTTGACAAAGGTGTATCTTCCGTGCAAGGTGGGGTATGTGGGTTGGGCATTGTTCCATATATAGACTTTTAGCCAGTCCTGGTATTTCTCACTTTCATGTATTCTAGGAAACGGGTAACTCCAAGGCTTGGATCTTTGGGGGGTTCTCTGAGAGCTCTTTGTCTTGGTACTTACTGGTATTCCCCCTCAACGCATTTTAGGGTATAGCTTCTAATAAGTAAAGCTGGAATCCATTTCTCCATCTGTGTTAGTCTGTTTTGCATTACTATTAATATAAAGGAATACCTGAGGCTGGGTAATTTATAAAGAAAAGAGGGGCCTCCCACTTTGGGAGGCTGAGGCGGGCGGATCATGAGGTCAAGAGACTGAGACCATCCTGGCCAACATGGTGAAACTCGTCTCTACTAAAAATAAAAAAATTAGCTGGGCGTGGTGGCACGTGCCTGTAGTCCCAGCTACTCCGGAGGCCGAGGCAGGAGAATCACTTGGACCTGGGAGGCGGAGGTTGCAGTGAGCCCAGATCGCATCACTGCACTGCAGCCTGGCTACCGAGCGAGACTCCATCTCAAAAAAAAAAAGAAAAAAAGAAGAGAGGTTTGTTTGGCTCATGATTCTGCAGACTGTACAAGAAGCATGTCACTAGTATCTATGTCTGATAGGGGACTCAGGAAGGTTCTACTCATGTTGAAGGGTGAAGGGGAAGCAGGCATGTCACACGGTGAGAAAGTGAGCTAGAGAGATGCCAGGCTCTTTTAAACAACCAGCCCAGCTCTCACGTGACGTAATAGAACAAGAACTCACTAATTACCAACGGGAAGGCACCAAACCATTGAGGAGGGATTTGTCCTCATTACCCAAACACTTCCCACCGGGCCTCACCTTGAACGCTGGAGATCAAATTTTAACATGGTATTTGGTGGGGACAAACCCTATCAGCAGCTGCTTTTAATATTTAAAAAAATATTTTGAGAGAGGGCCCACAGACCCTCTGAAAGAAGCAGACTGCTCCTGCAGGACCCGGGGGACACCCCAAATACTGTGAGTGCCCCAACTGCGGAAGTGGGAAAGGGAGACCCTCCTTTCCGGAACACACACCCCCTACTGGAGAAGCTGAAGGTCTGCTTCCGGGAGATGCTCCCGACTTCACCTGGAGCTGAGTCAAGTTAGAGAACCGGACCAAGCGAAATACAGGGGCAGAGGAGGCAGCAGGGAGGCCCTGGGAGCTCTTTGAATCCCCAGGTAGCCTATTCCTGCCTGGCACCACTGGGATTCATCAGGAGGGAGGCCAGAGGAGCAGGAGGTAAAACCCTACCGGGAGAAGGACTTCCCTAGCTGAATTTTGTAACAATTTGAGTGGGGCGAGAAGCCTCCTGGCCGGAACTTGGGGGAGGATGCGGATCTGGCTTGCAGACTTCACAGGTGGGGGAAGAACTAAAGCCCTTTTCTTTCACAGGTGGGAGGCGGAAAGCCTCGGGCAAGTTTTCAAGCCCGTCCTCTGTCTGGAAACAGACTCAGAGGTGTTGCAGGGGACACGGTGGGAGTGAGACCAGCCCTTCGGTGTGCGTGGGATCTGGGGGAGGCCTGTGACTGCCGGCTTTCCCCTGCTTCTCTGACAACCTGCATGACTCAGCAGAGGCAGCCATAATCCTGGAGAGCCCCGGTTTAAGATCTCCAGGTGAAGTAGATTTTTATTGTAAGTAACTCCTGTACTTTTTAAGTTGTGAGACATGCATTCAAGGTTGAATTCTGAAATCATGTCTGAATTAACTTCACTGGAGTCTTCTGTTGCCCTTATAGAGTAGGGAATTCTCATAGTTCTGCTAGTAATTGTTTTTTGAGGGGGCAGGTGTGGTCTAACAAGGAAAGGCTAGAGAGCAATTAGGACCAAGGGAAAGACCTTGGGCCATGGAAGGTTGAGTTCTCTGAAAGTTTTAAAAATATAAATATGTATTTTTACTCTAGAGATGCGGTCTCACTAAGTTGTCCA